>NC_000021.9:44699336-44853232 GCF_000001405.40 Homo sapiens | reverse complement strand
CCCAGCCAGACTAATGTTAATGTAAATAAAAGACAAGGTGGATACACACACACGCACACGCGCACACACGCACACACTGCCCAGCACCTGTTATCACCAAGCACAAGCTGTGTTTAAGTTGCTCGACCTTTACTGTGCCCTGACTCCCAGCGGGTGTGAGGCTGTGGGTGGCCGGCCAGGCTCTTGGAGTGGTGTCTTCTGTGTCAGGGCCCTGATTGACTTGCACTTGCCATTTTGGTGGTTAATTTGGCCCTTTAATTGCATTGATGAAATGAGCTTTTTGTGCCAGTTTGTAATAAAGCCATTGAATGGCCTGTGCTTTGGAAAGCCTCGGCTAGTTAGAAGAATTCCTAGGAATTCCTGATGGGAGAGTGCGAGAAAGCATGTGAGTCCACCTGGTGCAGTTATATAAAATACCAGCACGCACGCAAAAACCCTTCTTTTGGTTTTGGTTTTCCCTCTAAACTGGAAGTAGACTCAGGAGCGAGTTTTTCAATAAGAACTTAACCAGCCTCCTTGCTAGTATCTGATGACTCTTTCCCAAAACCGACTTTGAGCCTCACTCCCAAAGCCTGATGCCTGTGGCCCTCCTTGACAGGCAAGAAAGAAACATGGCTAGGCCCTTCCTTACCATCCCTCTGCTTCCCCGCCGCCTCTTCCACCCAGCCCCCAGAATACATGCAGTGAGTAGCTTTGTTGTAATCGCTGCAGATAATTTTAGTGTACAATACAGATTGTTAAAGGGAGAGAGAGGCCAGGCACGGTGGCTCACGCCTGTAATCCCAACACTTTGGGAGACCAAGGTGGTGGATCACCTGAGGTTGGGAGTTCGAGACCAGCCTGACCAACATGGTGAAACCCCGTCTCTACTAAAAATACAAAAATTAGCCAAGTATGGTGGTGGGTGCCTGCAGTCCTAGCTACCCGGAGGCTGAGGCAGGAGAATTCCTTGAACCCAGGAGGCGGAGATTGCAGTGAGCCGAGACTGCGCCATTGCACTCTATCCTGGGCAACAAGAGCAAAACTCTGTCTCAAAAAAAAATAAAAAATAAAGGGAGAGAGAGTGTGTGTATGTGTGTGTGTTTCTGCAGTGTGAAGGGAAAACTCCTGGTCTTTGGGTAAGTAGCACAGGTTTACTCTTATGATTAAATACACATTTTATCCCAGTTTTGTCAGAGTACTCGAGAGTTAGATTGATGGTCATCTTAGTTCTTTCTGTAGCCTTAATTCCAAAGGTTTAAGAGCAGCTATAAGCACAAAGTAAGGTTATTTTGTTTAATAGTAGCCATCCACTGTGGAACTAGCCAACCACTGTGGAAAGAAATACTTGCCTTAAATTTCTTTTCTTCGCCGAGCATCAGGAAGTAAGTGCTTATCTCTTAGGATCTGTTAGAGTTCTTGTTTCTAGTAAATTTTATTTCAGTTTTAAAGTTTAAAGTGGTTTGACTTCAAAAAAGGTTAAGCACTGTATGAGAGCCTGCTTACAATGCCCGTTGTTGCTATAGCCTCAGTAAATCTTCTTATAAAGCTTGGTTTGTATGGCTTTCTAAGATTTTGTTTCTGGTTGAATGAATGAAGTTATGATTCAAGTTTATTTTGTTTCAGGCCTGTTTAAAGAAGAAAACCCGTATGCTAGATTTGAAAACAACTAAAGCGCTCCAGCACATCAGTCCCGACGCTTCCTGTGAGGTGCACGCTCCGCAGCCCAGCCCAGCCGGGAGACCACGTGGCCATTGCGGTCTCCTGACCTTGGCCAGTGAACCTGCCAGCCTTCCAGGACAGGCGGCCGGAGAGCTGCCCCTGAAGGACAGTCCTCTCGTCTTGCAGACTGGTGACCTTCTATTCCCTGTTCATCTCTGTTTCTAGATTTAGTCACTTGAAATAAGAAATCTTTGGGGTTTGGGCTTTTTTATACTCTTCTCAGTTTGTGAAACGCTAACTGCACACGAAGCCGCCTGACGGCACCCAGCGCTGTGGCTGTCATTCTCCCAGGGCAGAACCCTGCGTTTCTCTCTGTCCACTAACAAGCTTCACACGCAACACAGGGAAGTCGGTTTGACTTTTGTCATGAGGAGAACTGACCAGCCCTCATCATTCCCCATAAAACCACGGACAGCGTCTGTGTGCGCATCTTGAGTCTTCACACCTGTTGACTCACACGGCTTTTGCTGATGACACGGGGCTCCAGTACACAGTCTGATAAGGACTTAACGTCCTAACCTCAATTGTATTAAATAGCATTGGGGAATAGCTAAACCTTTTTAAAAAAATTTATTGGATTTTCCTCCCTGCTTAAAAGATTTCACCAGAAAACCTTCATATAAAAATTCAGGCCCTTTTTGGACAATTTTTAAAATTTGTATCTTTACTAGAACATGAGAATCTTTTTCCCTTGGAAGCTTGAATTATAAATGTGGTGTTTGGCCTGCCTCAGCAGCACCAGTTGACTGCTCGTGTGCCAGCGGTGTGGGGAGGACGGGGCAGGACGCTGCAGCTCTCTCCAGCCCTGTTGGCATCCTCAGTGCCTGCAGGCCTCTCGCTGCCTGTTGGGCTGTCTGGGGGGTGGCCATTTAGGGATCGTGGGGACGGGGTCCACCCCAAGAAGAAAGAAAGGCCCGTCCACAGGCCCGGCTCTGGGCCACGTGCCCCGGAAGCAGGTGTGTCCAGAGTCAGCTGAGGGCTCTCCCCACACCACCCAGCAGGCGCTGGTGCTCCTTCTGCCTCATGGGACCAGTCCAGCTTCCAGCCGCTCTGGCTCGAGGGTGGTCTGACCACTTCCTTCTGAGTGGGCTTCTCTGGGAGCTCTCCAGTGGCACTGCTGGACCTGCCCACGTTTCTGTAAAATCAGGATACGTGGCTTTAGTAAGCAGACCAAGCGCTTCGTGGCAGGGAAAGCAGCGTGCGGGGAAGTCACTGAAAAGTGCTGCCTAAGGAAGTTTGGAAATAGTCCCTGTTCCAGATTGCCTTGAATTTTAAAACATTTTGCTTTGGGAAAGTAGGTCAGCAGCACCTAAGATCAAGGATGCGTTCCATTTTCACACTTCACAGTCATGAAAACTGAGAAGACTGTCTTCAGCGTGAACTAAAGTTCACAGGCAGATCACTGATCCAGAACACTTCAAGAACTCGTCAAACAGCTCGATAAGCCTTTTTGACTGTGTACATCTGTACCGGGAATAACATTCCTAGGCTGAAATTTCCACAAAGAATAGAACCTGTACCCAGTTCTTCAGGCTGATTTCCCTGACCTCTTGGGCATTTGTATTTGTAGTAAAGTATTGCAGAGATTCCTAAGTATTTTATAGCAGCCATCAAAATTGGACTTTGTATTGTTTATTCATAAAAGACACTTGGTAATAGACTTCAGTGAACTCTGTATGAATGCAGTAGTGTGTGTGCAAAATCCGCTTCCTGAGCGTAGGGTGCTGAGCTGGCGCTAGGGCTCGGTTGTGAAATACAGCGTAGTCAGCCCTTGCGCTCAGTGTAGAAACCCACGTCTGTAAGGTCGGTCTTCGTCCATCTGCTTTTTTCTGAAATACACTAAGAGCAGCCACAAAACTGTAACCTCAAGGAAACCATAAAGCTTGGAGTGCCTTAATTTTTAACCAGTTTCCAATAAAACGGTTTACTACCTGCGTGTGTTTAGTATGCTGCGTGTTCCTGTGTTCCATCTCAGTGGTGTCGACATGACCGCTTGGAATGCTGGGAGGCAGGTAGGCTTTTTTGGGTAAAGTGGGCCTCTGACCCATCGTGGGATGCCTGGGCAGTCTCCAGACTAAATGCCTGTGGCTGTCAGAACGGACCAGGCTGTGTCCTAAAACTGTGCCCACGGGCCTGCCTCGCAGGGGAGGTCTTGGCTGTCTCTGCCCTCCACAGCTGCCCTGCGCACCGCATGCCCTCCACTCGCGCTGGGTGCCGAGGGCCGGGGGAGAAGGCAGGGCTGCCTCGGGAAGGGCGACCTTGGCCCCCCCGTGTGAAACGCACACCTGCATGAGGCTCCCGCGCTCCCTGCTCCCCTCGCGTCCTTCCCTGGGTGTCTCCGTGCCAGGTTTTTAGGGAGTGCCCCCCCACCCCGGCCCCCTTCTGTGTTGCTCCTGCCACTTCAGTCCTCTGGGACACAGGGTTGAGTCCGAGCAGCAGAGTATTGGTATGTCTGTCTGTCCCGTGGACCTGCCCCGCAGGGCCCAGCGTTTGTGGCTACGAGCACCAGCCCGTCTGCGGCGGAAACCCCCTGTGCTCGACCCGCTTCCGGCTCATTCAGGAATGTGTGGCAACTGCAGACTTGCATCTGGAACGGGGAGACGTGAGGTTGCGACTCCTGCCCCCAGACACACTGCCATGGTGCTGCCCCCAGACGCACTGCTATGGTGTGGTCTTAGTGCCCAGTATCTCGTTTGAGAGGCTCATCCTTGTCAGAAACATTAGGCTTAGAATCGTTTAAGAAGTTGCAAATTTTCTGGCCGGGCACAGTGCTCACGCCTGTAATCCCAGCACTTTGGGAGGCCAAGGCTTGTGGATCACTCAGGTCAGGAGTTTAAGACCAGCCTGACCAACATGGTGAAACCCTGTCTCTACTAAAAATAGAAAAAATTAGCCGGGCGTGGTGGCGTGCGCCTGTAATCCCAGCTACTCGGGAGGCTGAGGCAGTAGAATCACTTGAACCCAGGAGGTGGCGGTTGCAGTGAGCTGAGACCATGCCATTGCACTCCAGCCTGGGCGACGAGAGCAAAAACACTGTCTCAAAAAAAAAAATTATAAAGTTGGAAGTTTTCTGATTACACTGAGATTTCTGCTTTAAAAGGAATGGTTGGTGAGTAAAATACTTCCTCTCTGATGTCTGCTCTTCAAAAAAAAAAAATATCGTGCAGGTTAAAAATACAGTCACTGGCCGGGCGTGGTGCCTCACACCTGTAATTCCAGCACTTTAGGAGGCCGAGGCGGGCGGATCACCTGAGGTCAGGAGTTCGAGACCAGCCTGGCCAACATGGTGAAACCTCGTTTCCGCTAAAAATACAAAAATTAGCCGAGTGTGGTGGTGTACGCCTGTAATCCCAGCTACTCGGGAGGCTGAGGCTGGTGAACTGCTTGAACCCAGGAGGTGGAGGTTGCAGTGAGCTGAGACCATGCCATTGCACTCCAGCCTGGGCAACAGAGCGAGACTCTGTCTCAAAAACTAAAAATAAAAATGCAGTCACTGTGGGTGCCCAGGCCAGCGTCCCTGTTAGCTGGTCTTGTGTGCCTTCCAAAGCCAGTCTGTCCTTCGGCCTCCGTGGGGCACCAGGTGCAGGGCTTCTCAGGACCGTCAGTGTCCTCACCCAGTCCCACCCGTCTGCTTTGGGAGGCGTAGCTTCCACCTGCAGTCCAGTTCGTGCTGCCTCGGTGTGGCATTTGACTCAGCTGTGAGGTCAGCTTCTAGAAGTAGAATTCTGGATCAAAGGGTGTGTGATGTGTACTTGAAACGTTGACTAGAATCTGCCAAATTTCCCTCCAAAGAAGATGCCTGACTGTGGGGATCTAATCCCTGGCAGGACAGATGGAGGGGAGTGGGGTGTCCAGTGTGTTCAGCACACTCGAGGACAGACAGACTGGGGCTGGCCTGGGCAGAGGCGAGAACATGGGGACCACAGCGGCTGAAGGCAAGGACTGGGCCTGGGTGTGAAGTGGGGAGGCCAGAAGAGTGGGCGGGATGTTGACTCCATCCTGTCACTGGCTTCGGGCCGGGGGCAGACACAGCTTCTGAGAAGGCAGCAGGAGGGTGGTGAGACACGCTCTTGTCCTGCTGCAGGTGGTCCTGGGGCTCCCCTGACCCCCAGCCTGGCAGCACGCCTGCAGTCCCCCCTCTGCCGAATGGTGCTGCTTGCAGGCCGCAGTCAGGCGGTGGCCGTGGCAGTTCAGTTCTCGGTGCTCACTTGACGGGCGGTCCCAGCAGGTACCCAGTGCACCCCCAGCATTCTGGACTAGCTCTGCAAGGCCCATGTTACAGAGAAGCCTGTCTGCCCCAGAGTCCATCACAAAGGCCACCGTGCGGCCGCTGTCCACCATGCATCCACCGTGAGCCCAGAGTGACTTGGGGCAGCCACCTCTTCAGGGGGAGCCCTCATTGTGACACAAAGGTGTCTGCTTGAGCCTGACGGGGGTGGTCAGGTCATTGTGACACAAAGGTGTCTGCTTGAGCCTGACGGGTGGCCCAGGTCCCCGAGTGGACTGCCTGCTGCCCCCCTTGGTCTGTGGTCCCATGCATTCGCTGGGGAACAGGCCCCACAAAACAGCCTTTGAATCAGAGCCAGCCACGTCCGGAAGGATGGAAGCAGCCCGTGAGCCACATGGACTTTGGCAGCACGTCTGTCACCCTCAGGTCCTCATGTGGATGACTCCCACACGCACAGTGGCTCACACCCCAGAGCCAGACTCCAAGCCCTCATCTGTGGCTCTGCCTCCCCAGGGCTCTTGGAGTCCATCCCTCCAGCAGATGGGGAGAAGCCCCCAGTTGGAAGTGACTCTCCCCTCAACTCATTCCACTGACAAGAGCTGGTCACCCCCTGGGACCTAGGCAGTCGCTTCCCACGCGGGTGGGGGCACCTCTGGGGCCGTCTGTGCATGGAGATGACTCCTGTCTAACAGGATCTCCACTTCCTCCTCAAAGCCGTTTTAACGAAGCCGCGCGGAACCTCTCAGTACAGGCAGATCCCGACACGTGCGCAGAATAAAAGCCCGTGTCACAGAGGAACGTCAGAGCTGCCAGCTCAGCCAGTACTTACTTGGTCTGATGGTTTTCCACTCTCCAAAGCTACAGAATGTTACTTAACCCACCATCAGGCTGCAGATTTTTTGTTCTTTTAAACCTTGAATACCAAGAAACAATTTCTAACTAGAGATAATCGTAAAATACAGCCAATAGCAGTATTCTGCAGTACTCTCTTCCACAAATCCTATTTCTCTCAGCTTCCATGTAGTGGCACTTAGTAAACAATGAAAAGAATTTTTCTGAGAGTGGGCTTTGCTGATGAGGCTTCAGGGACCTGCATGAGGAAGGGCTGGCCTGGCCGGAGGTGTCTGGTTCATGAAATTTTCTCCAAGAGGGCGCCATGGAGTAGCTGCCCTCTCTCCAGAACAGACCGGTGATCACCGCCGCCGCCTCCAGGCTGCCAGGGCCAGAGCACGGGGCACGGCTGTGGAGGACCCTGCTGTGCTGCTGGACGCAGAGAATCCCAGGGGCCCAGCCCCGGCGCTCCGGCCCAGGACACGCCCTTCCTTCCTGGCCACAGGGACTTTTGGAAGCCCGGCCCCGCCCCCGCTCCGTTTGCGGGTGCTGGGTGTGGAAAGAGCAGGAGGACCCTGCGGAGTCTCTGCGGGGAGGAGTCCTGGGGTCCGTGGTCCCGCCCTCACCCAGGGCCTGGGTGGCGCCTGGCGGTTGTTTCCACTTTGGCTTGTTGGATGCACTGCCGGGGACCTCAGATGGGAAGCCCCAGCCCTGTGAGGACCAGATGGGACCCTGAGCCCAGAGAGGCGTGGGGGGCCCCTCTCCCCCGTCCACTCCTCCCCGCCTCCCTCCTGAGCAGGCGGGAACAGCCCTCCTGCGTCCACAGAAGCCAGACAGAATGGGGATGAAATGCACACTCGGGAGGAAAGGGGTTGGAGGGGTTGCACAAGATGCAGAACATCTTGGCAGAATTTCATCCATGCATTGGACACATCTGTCAGAAGCGTTCGAACCAGAGTGACTCCATCTTGAGTAGGGTCTGGGACTTGGTGGGCTGCATTCTCAGAAAGTCTGGCATTCCTGGCCTCTGGATGTTTACGGTTAAGGGAACAGGTTAGTAATGTTTACTACACAGACTCAGACTTGGGAGTGTCCAGATAGCCCATATCTGGAGAACAAAGGCATTCCTAATTTTGCTTTAAAGATAATATCGATCCTGGCAAAATATAGTAATTAAGAAAATAGGCTGGGTGCGGTGGCTCACGTCTGTAATCCCAGCGCTTTGAGAGGCCGAGGTGGGTGGATCACCTGAGGTCAAGAGTTCGAGACCAGCCTGGCCAACATGGCGAAACCCCGTCTCTACTAAAAATACAAAAATCAGCCGGGCGTGGTGGCGGGCACCTGTATTCCCAGCTACTCGGGAGGCTGAGACACGAGAAGCGCTTGAACCGGGGAGGCGGAGAGGTTGCAGTGAGCTGAGATCATGCCACTGCATTCCAGCCTGGGCAACAGAGTGAGACTCTGTCTCAAAAAAAAAAAAAAGAAAGAAAGAAAATTAATCCTTTATCACAAACCCTTGCATCCGAGCACGCCTCCCCGTGTACACCAGCACCGCACCTACGGTGCACGCGTTCCCCCTCTTACTTCCGGGAATGCCCTGCTCTGTCTACGGAGGAGCTATTCTTTGACCACTTTACTTTTGCAATAAACTTGCTATTGCTTTGCACTGTGGACTTGCCCTGAATTCTTTCTTGCACGAGATCCAGGAGCCCTCCCTTGGGGTCTGGAGCCAAACCTCATTCCTGTAACATATTTCTAGCGACCACGGAAGGGACTCTAGTGCGGAAACCCTGACCTGACGGCTGCCTCTGGGTACGTGTTAGGGTCCTGTAACAAATCTGCAAAGGAGAAACCGTTGTGTATCAGGCTGGGCATGGGGTGGGCACAGAGACCTGAGCCGCCCAGAGTCGGGGGCTGCACGTCCCCTGCCCCAGGAATGAGTGTGACCCTGCTGATGTTTCCAGACGGGAAGTGCTCAGACGGACTCCCGGCGTTTGGAGTCCAGGCCGGAGTAGGGTTTGACCCAGGCAGGAGTCAGGCGGGGCTTGGTTCAGGGGCTGAGATTTCGGCCGAGGAGGAATGGGAAGCGGAGAGGAGGTCAGGGGCTGCAGGGGAGGGGGTCCTAGGTCAGACTCTGGGCCTGATTCGGTGGCGGTGGTGGGAGGCCGCCTGTGCCCTGTGGGTGGTGAGGGGTTTTCCTTTTTTCCTTGTCTTTTTTTTTTTGAGACGGAGTCTCGCTTTGTCCCCCAGGCTGGAGTGCAATGGCACGATCTCGGCTCACTGCAAGCTCCGCCTCCCGGGTTCACGCCATTCTCCTGCCTCAGCCTCCGAGTAGCTGGGACTACAGGCGCCCGCCACCACGCCTGGCTAATTTTGTTGTATTTTTTTTTTAGTAGAGACGGGGTTTCATCGTGTTAGCCAGGATGGTCTTGATCTCCTGACCTCGTGATCTGCCCGCCTCGGCCTCCCAAAGTGCTGGGATTACAGGCGTGAGCCACCGTGCCCGGCCAAGGGTTTTCCTTGTCTTATCAGCTGGGCCTGCTTTAGCAAAATACCCCAAGCTGGGGCGCTTCAGCCACAGACACTGAATTCTAGCTGCCCAGGAGGCTGGAAGCCAAGCTCAGGGTTCTGGAAGTTCTGTCCCTGGCTCGCAGCCCTTCTCACTGTGTGCCCAGGGGTGCACTTTCGGAGGGTGATGGGGAGAGAGAGAGAAAAAGAGAGAGAGCAAGCGAGCAAGCAAGCCTCACTCTTCTCCTGAGGACACAGAGATGGAGAGAGAGACAGAGAGAGAGACTCACTCTTTCTTCTCCTGAGAACACAGGTGAGAGAGAAAGCCTCATTCTTTCTTTTCCCGAGGACACAGTTAGAGATGGAGAGAGAGACAGAGAGAGAGACTCACTCTTTCTTCTCCTGAGGACACAGTCCCCTCGGCAAGGCCCCATCTCCAGCTAAGTCACTTGGGGGGTTGGGGCTTCAACCCATGGGTTTTGGGGGGGACACAGTTTAGTCCATAGCACACTCTATTAATGTTATTTAAAGCAGTGACGTTTTCTACTTTAAAAAAACCCGACATCATTCAAAGAAAAACTACGCAGTAAATAATTGCAGAGAGGCTTGGGATGAGGCAGAGGCTTGAAGGCGGTGACGTGTGTCGGCCTCACAGCCGCCTAGGTGCAGATCTTGGCTGCCTGAGGGCCTTGCAACCCTGAGCTCACTGCCAGGTCCAGAAAGCTCCAGGGAGCCCAGGCTCGCCGTGGAGGTGGCTACCCAGGGCCACAGCCATGGAGCTGAGGAAAACGGTCACTTGCAGGGCAGAAGACACAGAAACGGGCTCGGGGAGTCAGGCAGACATACCTCGCTGTCAGGAAACACCAAATTAGGGCGTTATTAGAGTCTAAAAAGCCCTAGAGTGAGAATCTGGGGACTCAAACACTTCTGTACCCCTTGTGCAAGGCTTGTGTGGCACCTGTCCCAAATCCAAAGGCTGAGAACATGGAGCCGACTTCCAGACGCCATCCTCCAGGCTGCAGTGCTGAAGCCGACTGCTTGCCAAGCTGGGCCCTCCGTGGCGAGGGGTCCCCCCACAAGGCTAGTGGGTCTCTGTGGGGGCTGGTCTCCATCTGGGAGGTGAGGGCTCCTGTCTTTCCTTCACTCCCTCATTGGGAATTGGGAAGGGACCTGTTCAGATTGATGATGAAGAGCCCGCTGACCTATGGGACGTTCCCAGGACCATGCCTGCTTCCAGGGCGCGTGCCCTAGGATGAAGCCATCAATAAAATGTCCGGGAAACCCCAGAGCAGACCCCAAGAGCAAAGCCCCTTCACGGGTACAAATTGCCCATGGAGGGCAAGGAGAGCCAAAACGTAGGAGCAGGTGGGGCCCTGCCTGCCCAGCCCCGTTCTGGGTTTGTATGGAGATAGTAAAGTGTTTGCCTTCCAAGACAGGCTGGCACAACGGTTCCTGCCTGTAATCCTAGTGCCTTGGGAGGCCAAGGTGGGAGGATCACTTGAACCCAGGAGTTCAAGACCAGCCTGGGCAACATAGTGAGAGCCCATTTCTCAAAAAAAAAAAAAAAAAGCATCTGGTGGGCCCTAACCCTAAAGGAGAGCCTCAGGAGGGGAAAAGGCACCCACATTTCTCAGGCCACCTGTGTCCATGACACCGGCGCCTGCAGGTTGCTCTGGGAGTCGATGTTGGCAATTCACCGAAGGCGTGACGGGGGTGAGGGGCTGTTGCTGGGCTGGGCACGTTTAGTCACACAGGAAACCAGGTCTGGGGTCTGTTGCACGTGATGTGTGGGGGAGATGGAGCTGTACTGCACCCTGGGAAGCTGCGGGTGGTAAATGTTCTGTGTTTCCCAAGGGATCTGGAAAGCGCATTAAATCCCACTGAAATCCTCAATTTGGGCTTTAATCACGTGGAAAAAATGAATCAGAAAATAGTCTGTAATGATCTAGAAAGGTAAACAGTCACACACCACATAAGATTTTGGTGGACTGACTGCATGCACAACGGTGGTTCCATAAGGTTCCAATTCTGTAGGTTTATGGTACCTTCTCTGTGTCCGGATACATAAATTCTGGCCACTGCGTTCCAGTTGCCTGCAGTTCCCACACAGTAACATGCTGTAAAGTTTGCAGCCCAGAGTGATCCCCTCCATCAGGCACCCTGAGCACACAGTCTTTCCCACCTAGGTGTGTGTGCGTGCACTCCGTGATGTGTGCACAGGGACCAAACCACCCAACGCCGCACTCCTCAATCCCTGTGCCTAAGCGACTCGTGGCTGTGTTTAATGATGTACAGCCTCTGCAAACTAAACGTTCATCTGAGAACAGGAGAAAATTTGGTGGAGATTCCACAATCTCCCCTCTTGCCCCTCACCCCAGCCCTTTACTTTTAAGGATGGAACACCACGCACAACCGAAGTGGCAGCAATCCCTTACTGCCCGCCTGCTGATGTCGGGGCCTCACTCACAACCTTGTTTAATCCCCAGGTGCTCCTGCAGACCAGCAGTATGGGAGGAATGCCACCACCATTACACACGTGGAATCGGAGCTTGGCCAATTCAGGCGACAGCACCAAGAACAAGAACATCACTGACACTGCTGACGCCGCCCTTGTGAGGGTCGCCAGGTGGAGGCTGGAGGCTCAAGACGTGGACCCAGGTCTGCTCCCTGGGATGCTTTCTCCCTGCCATTGTCTCTTGCTCCATAATCTCAATGCTGGGAATGAGTGGGGACATTATCAGCAAGGGGACACTGTCCCAGAGACACCTGAGCCACCCCACAGAACCATGCAGCTCTCAGAAGCCCTGCACGTGGCCAGCTGGGGAGATGCTGTGAGCTGCCGCTTCCGGTTTCTCTATAGGTAACGGGATTCAGGGAGGCATCCACCCGGGAGAAGAGAATCTCGTTAACTGTGGCTGGATCAGCAGCAGAGGTGGCCATGGCTGTGCCCAGGGCAGGGCCCCACAGCCGGGCCTGACCATCCAGGGCTGTGTGCCTTGGGGCTCAGTCCTCACAGGAGGGGCTGCCCCAGCCTCTGGGCCTGGTTCCTTGAGGGTCCCAGCAGCAATGAGCCCCGGCCCCACCTGCAGCCCACAGCTCTGTGCTCACGCTTCCTGATGCTTCCTCCCGGCCCGACTCACACTCCCCACCCCCACACTCCTACCTCAATAGACCACCCCCCAAAGAAACTACTTCCAAGGCCTTGTCCCAGGCTCTGCTTTCTGGAGACCCCCGGAAGTCACCACGTGAGGCATGTGCAGCAGAGCCCCCAGTGATGCTTAATTTTATGTGTCAATTGACTGGGCCACAGGATGCCTGATAGCTGGTTACATGTGTTTCTGGGTGTGTCTGTGAGGGTGCTGACAGGTCAGCATTGGATTTGGTGGACCCAGGAAAGCCAACCCTCTCCCGAGCACAGGTGGGACCATCCAACCTATTGAGGGCCCAGACAGAGCCGATAGGTGGAGGGGGTGGTCGGCCGTCCTTCGGCCAGTCTGCTGAGCTGGGGCAGTGAAAGCGGCAGAATGAACAACTATTTTAATACACGGGTAATTTTTCTTTTAAAATTTGTAGAGGTGGGTTTTGCTATGGGTTCACCAGGTGGGTCTTGAGCTTCTGGCCTCAAGTGATCCTCCTGCCTCTGCCTTCCGAGTAGCTGAGACCACAGGTGCACATCAGTGAATTTGATTCGCACGTTTTATTTAAGGGTTTTGCGCCCTGTACTCATGAGGCTGGCGTATGTTTCTGTTTTTTGTGCTGTCCTTGTAGGTTTGGACATCAGGGTCATGCTGGAGTTGTAGTGGAAAGTTTCCATGGTTTTCTATGTTGTGGAAGATCTTTAAAGCATCTGGAGGCACTGTCTTTTTTAGGGGAGTTGAGTATTTTAATACTGCCTCAGTTTCTTCCATGGTTATTGGTCTATTCAGGTTGTCTAAGTTTTTTTTTTGTTTTTTTTTTTTTTGAGACGAGTCTCGCTCTGTCGCCCAGGCTGGAGTACAGTGGCGCAATCTCGACTCACTACAAGCTCTGCCTCCTGGGTTCACGCCATTCTCCTGCCTCAGCCTCCCGAGTAACTGGGACTACGGGAGCCCGCCACCACGCCCGGCTAATTTTTTTATGTTTTTAGTACAGACAGGGTTTCACCATGTTAGCCACGATGGTCTCGAACTCCTGACTTCGTGATCCGCCTGCCTTGGCCTCCCAAAGTGCTGGGATTACAGGTGTGAGCCACCGCGCCTGGCCAATATCCTTTTTTTTTTTTTTTTTTTTCAGAGGCAGGGTCTTACTCTATCACCCAGGCTGAGTGCAGTGGCATGATGGTAGCTCACTGTGGTCTTAAACTCCCAGGCTCAAGCAATCCTCCTGCTTCAGCCTCCTGAGTAGCAGGGTCTATAGGTGCACACCACCACGCCTGGTTAATTTTTTTGTAGAGATAGGGTCTCACTATGTTGCCCAGGCTGGTCTTGAACTCCTGGGCTCAGGTGATCCTCCTGCCTCACTGGGATTCCAGGTGTAGCGACCCCACTGCACCCAGCCTCACCGTTTAAAGTTCCTACTGCTTTTTCCATTCTTTCTTTTTCAGACTTGTGAACTTTTCCATTTTATTCACTTTTCATAGGAGCAGAGTCAGATCTACTGACGGAGTCTCTTTTCTCTATGCTATTACTGTGGTCCGTGGCTGCGTGATGGCCGTCAGGGAATCTCGTCTCTTGGTCCCCTCCCACGCTGGTTGGCTGGCTGTGTGTGGCTCACACAGAATGTGATGGAAGGGACTTTCCTGGGCTCCAAGAGGCCTTGTGTCTCTCCTCTCCCCTCTGGGAATGCTGCTGGGTGGAGAAGCCCAGGCTCTCCTGCTGGAGATGGGAGCCCAGCCGCAGCCAGCACCACACACCAGACATGTGGCCGAGGTCATCTCAGACTGTCCAGCCCTCATTGGGCCAGCAGCTGACCACGGCCATGTCAGTGAGCCCAGGCAAAGCCAGCAAAGGAACTGCCTGGCTCAGTCCAGGTGAAACTGTTGACCACAAAAAGCACAGGCAAATCTAATCACGGAGTTCCTTACAGAGGTGTGGGCGGGGTTGAGCATGACGGATGGCAGCCCCTGATGGCACAGTGGGAGCCTTCGCCACCGCTGGGCCTGAAGGGGCACGGGGAGGGGGTGGTCGCTGGCAGCCACCACTACCCCACCAGTCGAGAGGAGTGGCCAGCTCACAGTGACCGGGCAGGAGGGCCGACGACAGTGCCATGCCAGGCCTTGGGAGAGCAGACGGAGCAGGCTTGGGAAGGGGGTGAAGGTGCAGAGCCCCCGCGAGTCACCGTGCCCACCTTGTACATGGACCCATTGACAAGGGCGGATGGGGGGCCTGGGGACAGGCCTAGGGGACAGGCCACCTTCCACTTGAGCAGGGGCCTCCTCTGCAGTGGGTGCCCCTGGTGGCCTTTGGTGGGGCTGGAAGTTTGTCACATTCTGATGGCTCTGAGAGGCCCAGCCACACAGCCTCCCCAGGCCCCTGCTCAGCGACCCTCCAGCCCTGCTCTGTGCATGCCCCTGGCCTTGGGCTCCTGACAGCCACTGCCCAAGAGCCTGTTCACACCCACGCCTCAGCTGTCTTCCTTCCACGTGAGGTGGAAGCCCATGTTCAACCTGAAGTTCTGCTCCGGGGATCCCCTGCCCGCTCCGGCTGCCTGGCCAGGCTTTGAGGCAGCAGCTGCCCAGCTCTGCGGGACCAGCAGCCCCAGGGTTGAGCCTAGGAGGGGTGGGCGGGGCCAGCAGCCCCAGGGGTGAGTCTGGGAGGGGTGAGTCTGGGAGGGGTGAGTCTGGGAGGGGTGAGTCTGGGAGGGGTGAGACTGGGAGCGGTGGGCGGGGCGTACCCGGGCGCTGGTGCCCTGCGCGCTGTGTGCACCTTCTGGGACCTGGTCCCTATTTATGATTCCCCTTTATGGTGGTGCTGCGAGGCTCATGGCTGTGGGCCACGATGTGTGCGGGGGGCCTGGGGGGGGGGCCTGGAACGTGCAGCTCAGCCCCCAGCGCCACATGCACAGTGAGCGCTTTCCAAACCGAGAACAGCTGGCATCAGAGGTGCGCACAGCTTGGCCCCAAACACCCTGGAGGGTCTCACCCAGCGCCTCCTCTAGGAAGGGCAGACGCCTGCACCGCAGGCAGGTTCCCAGGCCCCAGGGCCACTGGTGCCGCAGCCTGGCCCTACACCCCACCTGCTCCTGCTCCAAGCCGGGCTCCAACGGGCAAAGGCATGGCCCTGCTGCTGGGTCAGAGCCACACACCCACACAAGGAATAGGCCGGCCCCAACCTTAGGCCCCCCAGCCCACAGCCACCCTGTGCCGTGGCCACAGGGACCTACAGCAGCCCTGTCCCCCCTCTCTCTCTCCACCCCACCCTCTCCTTCTTTACCTTTCTTTCCTTCTCCGCTCCTCTCTCCCTTTCTCCCTCTCCTTCTCTCTCTCTTGCCCCACCCTCAGACATCCCAACACGTCCAGAGAGCATGGCAGGCCCCTGGGCTGGGCAGGGTCTGTCCCCTGGGACACACGGGCACCCAGGCCAGGCATCCGGGCTTCTCCGGCCTCCTGTCTACCAGGCTAATTCATGAGCTGCGAGTCACACGATTGTCTCTGCAGAGTCGTAGGGCAAGAACGGGGGCCCAGCCCTGAGGAGATGGTGCCCGTGCTCTGCCCCGCACCCCAAGAGGACAGAGGCTCTGCGATCTTTGCTGCTAGGACTGGAAGCAACCGGCAAAGCAGAGGCCGGGCCAGGAGCTGCACCCTGGGTGCCGGGAGCTACACGGAGGTGCCGGGGACTGCCTGGGTGCCGGGGGCTACACGGAGGTGCCGGGGGCTGCACCCTGGGTGTCGGGGGCTACACGGAGGTGCTGGGGGCTGCACCCTGGGTGCCGGGGACTGCACGGAGGTGCCCCTGAAACCTGCTGCCTCGGAGCCTCGCGTGACTGGCATCACCACCTGACTGAGAGCGTGACAATCCAGTTCTTCTCCAAGCCCCACGTGGCTCTGGCGACAGCTGTGAAGGGGGTTCGTGGACCGTGGGGTGTGTGTGCTGCAGCTGCCAGGACAGACGCCACAGCCAGGTGGCTCACACAGACACTGGCTCCCTCTCAGCCCTGAAAACTGCATGTCTGAGGTCCTGGAGCGGCAGGGCCGGTTCCTCCTGAGGCCTCTCTCCTGGGCGTGCAGACGGCATCTCCTCCCCCGGTCCTCACGTGGTCTGTGTCCTCATCTGCTCTTACAAGGACTTCAGTCAGATGGGGCCAGGGACCAGCCTAGTGACCTACTTTAACATAATCATCTCTGTAGGGAGCCTGTCTCCAAACACAGTCCCACTGAGGTCCCAGGGGTTTGGATCTCAACACTGGAATTTAGGGAGACACGATTCTGCTCACAACACGGGCACTGCGTGTCATGCAAGCCTTGACTGGCACCTTGACCTCCACAGTTCCCAGGCTCTGGTAGTGTCTCTAGTTCCCTCTCTCTGGGACAGGGGTGGGGACAGGGGTGGGGTGGGGGCTGCAGGGGTGGGGTGGGGTGGGGATGGGGTGGGGTGGGGGCTGCAGGGGTGGGGTGGGGTCAGGGGTGGGGTGGGGGCTGCAGGGGTGGGGTGGGGTGGGGGCTGCAGGGGTGGGGTAGGGTGGGGATGGGGTGGGGTGGGGGCTGCAGGGATGGTGGGGTCAGGGGTGTGGTGGGGGCTGCAGGGGTGGGGTGGGGTGGGGTGGGGACGGGGTGGGGTGGGGGCTGCAGGGGTGGGGTGGGGGCTGCAGGGGTAGGGTGGGGATGGGGTGGGGTGGGGGCTGCAGGGATGGTGGGGTCAGGGGTGTGGTGGGGGCTGCACGGGTGGGGTGGGGTGGGGTGGGGACGGGGTGGGGACGGGGTGGGGTGGGGGCTGCAGGGGTGGGGTGGGGTGGGGGCTGCAGGGGTGGGGTGGGGTGGGGGCTGCAGGGGTGGGGTAAGGTTGGGGAGGGGTGGGGGCTGCAGGTGCACGTGGTCTCACTCGGCCCTTTCTGCAACGACAGTGAAGAGAGGAGACTCCGCCAGTTGCTAAATGTGTGTGTTCCTGCTGGGCCCACTGTATGGTCGACTGCGGGGAGACCCTACTCCAGCCAGGGACCTTGCTGGCTGGCCAGGCCCTGCAGAACCAGCACCTAATAACCCTGGAGGGTGCTGTCCTTCCCTGGAACTCCGTGACCCTTGAAAATGGCCAGGGGGCCTTGGAAGGAGCAGGGGCTGATCTGTGGCCCACACCCATGGGAGGCTCCCCCTTCAAAGTCCCAGGCACCTCGGGAAGATGCTCAGGAGGCCCCACTGTGGTGATTCCAGTTGGGTTTTGACCAACAGACCTAGAGTTTTCCTGCCTGTAGATGTCAGGCAATAGCTTGGTAGCTTTGCCTCTGTCTCCTTGTGATGGATTCACCACCACGACCATCGCTGTGGCTCAGGCAGCTCTGAGTTCCTCTCCCTCCGTGGCTTACAGCGATGCCCACTCCCACTGTCTCTCACGTTCAGTGCTGACACCTGGCATCCAGCACGCCGGGTTCTTGTCGTCGCCCCTGAGATCTGGGAGCCCGTCTCCCTTGCAACGTCTTGGGCCTCAGAAATCTCACCAGGGAACTGTGAGCCTTCCCACGCCTTAATGACCTGGTTCAGGGAGTGTCCGGATGTGGCCGGGAGAGAGCAGGCAGGCTGCACACAAACCGCCCAGCGCCTATCTCCGTGAGCGTTCCGCTTCACCCTCTGTGGCAGCGACTCCGCCTTGGCTACACGATGGAATCACCGAGGAGTGTTTATACCTGCACTGCCAGACCCTGCACCAACGCATGGACCTCGCGGGCCTGGCACGAGTGTTTCTTTTTACTCTCCAGGTGAATCCAATGTCTAGCCAAAGCTGAGAACCCTGCTCCAGAGGCTCCTCGCAGGCACCCCCTCCAGCAGCAGCACTGGCAGCACCTGGAGCACCTGGAGTACCTAGTGTCCATCCCCACCGAGGACCTGCTGGGTCAGAGGCTGCGTGTCAGCAGGATTCCTAAAGAATTCACACATAACTCGCATCTCACACTCACAGCATGGGAACCCTCTGGAGGGCTCGCCAGGACACAGGTCCCCAAGGCTCTGATTTGGCAAGCCTGGGAAGGGGCCCAAGAATCCACCTTTGGGACCAGTCCCTGAGTGACGTAGATGCCGCTGGTGCAGGGGCCACACACGGAGGACGCCAGGAAGGCCATCGTGTCAAGCTAATTGGCCACAGTGGAGCCCGAGAGTCTATCAGCCAGATGAGGAACTCATTTCCAAGTACCTCATGCAACACAGTAATCCCTATGTCCTAGGTCAGTGCCCCCGGCCCAATCCAGCCTTATTTCACCTGCCAGGCTTGGTACGCTATATATTTCTCCAACCCTGGCCTGAACACGTTGGTGAGGGCTTGCAACCCTGCAGCATTCCGTGTTGGGATGTGACCTTGTTTGGGGTCAGGAAGCAGTGGGAGGTGGCGGGCGCATCGTGAGGAAAATGGGCCTTTCGTCATCAGGGACCGGGCCTGATGTCAGTGTGGAGGTCTGTCTATGTACAGAAAGGCGTCTTCTCTCCACCAGTGTCAGTGTGGAGGTCTCTCCGTGCACGGAAAGGCATATTTCCTTCACCAGTGTTGGCGTGGAGGTCTCTCCGTGCACGGAAAGGCATATTCTCCCCACTGAGGTCGGCGTGGAGGTCTCTCTGTGCACAGAAAGATGTCTTCTGTCCAGTGCATTGTCGCTGCACCTGTGTGAAAAATCAACGGGCCATTTGTGTGTGTGTCCACCTCTGATCTGTCAGTGTGTTCAGGGATAGTGATCTGTGTGCCTGTCACTTCACATTTGATGACTGTGACTTTATATTAAGACTTCAAGTCAGGTATGGTGAGTTCTCTGATTCTGTTCTTTGCAAAACTGTTTGGCTATTCTAGTTCCTTAAATTTCCCTGAACTTTTCTAGTTCCTTTGCCTTTCCCTAGAACTTTTAGAATCAGAGTGTTGATTTCTACAAAAAGTCCTGCTGAGATTTTGGTTGGGGTTATGTTGAATCTATAGATGATGTCATAACCAATGACGACGTCATCACCATAACAATGCTGAGTTATGATTGACGTTTACAAATGCTGTAAACCAACTATATGGCAACTGTCTGTTTTAGACCAAGGGTTGGCAAACGATGGCCCATGGATGAAGTGCAGTCTACCTACGAGCTAAGAATGGTTTTTACATTTTATTTTATTTTATTTATTTATTTATTTGGTTTTTACATTTTAAACACTTTAAATGTAAAATGTCAAAAGGGGCCGGGCGCGGTGGCTCACGCCTGTAATCCCAGCACTTTGGGAGGCCGAGGCGGGCGGATCACGAGGTCAGGAGATCGAGACCATCCTGGCTAACACGGTAAAACCCTGTCTCTACTAAAAATTACAAAAAATTAGCCGGGCATGGTAGGGGTGCCTGTAGTCCCAGCTACTCGGGAGGCTGAGGCAGGAGAATGGCGGGAACCCGGGAGGCGGAGCTTGCAGTGAGCCGAGATCGCGCCACTGCACTCCAGCCTGGGTGACAGAGTAACAGAGAGAGACTCCGTCCCCCTCCCCCCAAAAAAAACAGTCCAAAGGACTCTGTAGGGTCCAGCCCTACAGGGCTTAGCAGGTGTTCTCCCCATGTGCCGAGACGAGAGATTGTAATAAATAAAGACACAAGACAAAGAGATAAAGAGAAAGCAGCTGGGCCCAGGGGACCACTACCACCAAGACGAGGAGACCGATAGTGGCCCCGAACCGCTGGGCGTGCTGATATTTATCGCATACAAGACAAGGGGGCAGGGTAAGGAGGGTGAATCTTCTAAGGGATTGACAAGGTGAAGCAAGTCACGTGATCATAGGACAGGGGGCCCTTCCCTCTTAGGTAGCCAAAGCAGAGACAGAAGGCAGCATACATCAGCGTTTTCTTCTCTGCATTTACAAGAAAGATTAAACACTTTAAGACTTCCACTATTTTTTCTACCGCTATCTTCAAAGAGGAACCAGGAGTACGGGAGGAGCATGAAAGTGGACAAGGAGCATGACCACTGAAGCACCACAGGGAGGGGTTTAGGCCTCCGGATGACTGCGGGCAGGCCGGGATAATATCCAGCCTTCCACAAGAAGCTGGTGGAGCAGAGTGTTCCCTGACTCCTCCAAGGAAAGGAGACTCCTTTTCGAGGTCTGCTAAGTAACAGGTGCCTTCCCAGACACCGGCGTTACCGCTTCACCAAGGAGCCCTCAAGCGGCCCCTATGCGGGCGCGACAGAGGGCTCACCTCTTGCCTTCTAGGTCACTTCTCACAATGTCCCTTCAGCACCTGACCCTATGTCCGCCGGTTATTCCTAGGTTATATTAGTAATGTAACAAAGAGTAATGTTAAAAGCTAATGATTAATAATGTTTATAATAATGATTGATAATTGTCCATGATCATCTGTATATCTAATTTGTATTATGACTATTCTTATTCTATTTTCTTTATTATACTGAAACAGTTTGTGCCTTTAGTCTCTTGCCTCGGCATCTAGGTATTCTTTCTCCCACAGGACTTTGCCTTTCTTTTTTAAAATTATATTATTTCTAGGCCGGGCACGGTGGCTTATGCCTGTAATCCCAGCACTTTGGGAGGCTGAGGCGGGCGGATCATGAGGTCAGGAGTTCAAGACCAGCCTGGCCAATATGGTGAAACCCCGTCTCTACTAAAAATACAAAAATTAGCCAGGCATGGTGCCGCACACCTGTGCTGCCCAGCTACTCAGGAGGCTGAGGCAGGAGGATTGCTTGAACCCAGGAGGCAGAGGTTACAGCGAGCTGAGATTGCACCACTGCACTCCAGCCTGGGCGACACAGCAATCCTCCATCTCAAAAAATAAAATAAAATAATATTATTTCTTTGTAGAGATGGGGGTCTCACTATGTTGCCCAGGTTGGTCTTGAACTCCTGGTCTCAAGTGATCCTCCTATCTCGGCCTCCCAAAGTGCTGGGATTGCAGGCGTGAGTCCCCGTGCTGGGCCATTTCTGTGATGAGAATTGTTTAAA
The DNA here is from genome assembly GCF_000001405.40 of Homo sapiens. NCBI lineage: Eukaryota > Metazoa > Chordata > Mammalia > Primates > Hominidae > Homo > Homo sapiens. The sequence goes on along the minus strand of NC_000021.9, from coordinate 44,831,873 downwards.
GAGTTGAGGACTCTCCCAGCCTTTGGCTAGGAAAGCATAAAATATTTACTGTCTGTTCTTTTGCAGAAAAAGTTTGTTGGTTCCTGTTTTAAACAGTTAATTATCTTTCAGATGATTAAAAATCTGGAACAAATGTTTTCTATATTTAGTTAATTTTAACCATTCTGGGGTTCTTCACTTCCTTGTCTGGTTATCGTATACCCTTCTGCCTCAAGAACTTCCTTATCATTTCTTAAAACATAGCCTGCTGGCTATAAATTCTCTTTATTTTCTTTCGTCTGAGAATGTCTTTTCACTGCCTTTCCTGAAGAGCATTTTCACTAGATATTAAATTCTGAACTGAATTGCCTTCGGCGCTTTCACAGGGTCATTTCTGCCTCCTGGCCTGCACGGTTTCTGATGAGGAGTGTGCAGTGGCTCGAACTGCTTCCCCTGAAGGTGAGGTACTGTTCTCCTCTGGCTGACTGCAAGACTTTTTTCTTTATCTTTGATTATCACGTTCCTGATTGTGGTTTTGAGTTTATCTTCTTTGGGGTTTGCTGAACTTCTTGAATCTATACATTGATCTCTTTTCACTAAATTTGTGATTTTTTTTGAGTCTTTATTTCTTCAAACAGTTTTTCTTTACCAATCTTTCTGGGACTCCAAAATGACATGAAAATTAGACCTTTTGTTTTTCCCCCACAGGTGTCTGGGGCTCAGTTTAGTTTAGTTTTAATATTTTCTGTTCTTCACATTGGATCATTTCTACTGACTTCCCTTCAGGTTCGCTGAATCTTTCCTCTGACAACTCCATTCTGCTTTTGAGGCTAGTCAGGGAATTAAAAAGTTCCTGATATTATTATTTTTAAATTCTGAGTTTCTTTAAAAAATATATTTTCTACTTCTCTGCTGAGAACCTTGGTCTTTCTAATGATTTCAATAGAGTTTAACTTTTACTTAAATAAGCAATCAGCAGAGCTGGGTGCGGTGGCACACGCCTGTAGTCCCAGTGACTTGGAAGCCTGAGGCGGGAGAATCGCTTTGAGCCCAGGAGTTCGAGGCTGCAGCAAGCTATGATTTTGCCACTGCACTCCAGCCAGGGCCACGGAGCAAGACCCCGGTGAGACAGGAGAATAGGGTCTGGAAGCAGGGAACCTAAGGCCAATTCATGCTGACTTCCTAGAACTAAATCAGAAGGAAAACCCCAACTTTCCACACCTAAGTAACAAAAGAACTGGAGGCTGCCTTTGCAAATCCCCCCACCCCCACCCCCACCCCCACCCCTTTTGGGTGTGGCAGATGGAAAATTGAAGGTATCTCTGCTTGGTTGCTTCCTGCAACCAATCAGACGTTTGCATAGGAGTGTAACTTTGTAACTTCACTTCAGCCTCTGATTGGCAACCAATCAGACTGATTGCAGGCCAAGTCTTTGTTTGCATAGAAGCGTAACTTTGTAATTTCATTTTAGCCTCTGACTGGTTGCTTTCCGCAACCAATCATACACTTGCATAGGGCGTGATCTTTGTAACTTCACTTCAGCCTCTGATTGGTTGCTTTCCACAACCAATCAGAATGTTTGCAGGCCACTACTTCATTTACATAGGATGGACACCAAGTAACCAATGGGAAGTCTCTAGAGGGTATCAAAACCCCTGAGAATTCTGTAAGGGGTCTTGAGCCGTTATTCTCCAGCGGCTCCCACCATGTGGAGTGTACTTTCATTTGCAATAAGTCTCTGCTTTTGTCACTCCATTCTTTCCTTGCTTTGTGTGCTTCATCCAATTCATTGTTCAAAACGCCAAGAACCTGGACACCCTCCACTGGTAACACCATCTCTAAAAAAATTCAAACAGCAACAAAAAGCAACCAGCAAAAGTTTTTGTCTGGTGATCTTAACACCCACATCATTTTGGGTTGACATATGTTGGTGTCATTTCCCTTGAGAATTAATCACATTTTCCTTGTTCTTTGTATACCAAGTAACTAAATCTTATACTGGCCACTTTGATATGCTGTGAGACTCTGGGTCCTGTTAAAATCCTTTGGAGGATGATTATTTTTTTCTTTTTGTTTTGTCAAGCACCCTGTCCTGTCAGTTTCAGAATGCGAGCTCTGTCCCACCTCCCAGGGGCCAAGATTTCACTCTCAGTTCTTTCTCAAAGCTGTTGCTATGTTGCTTTGAATTGCCTCACCATGCCCAGCTCAGGGTTGATTCATTCACAGAGTCAGGGGACCCCTGTCTTCAATTCTCTCCTTGCTGAGATTTCTACCACATTCACCAGCCCCCAAGAGCCCCCTTTACCAGTCCTCTGGTTACAAGGAAGGGATTTCTCTGGGAACTTTAACCACCCATACTCCACCACAGTTTCAGGGACGTTGCCCATGGACTAAGCAGCAAGAGAAAAGAGAGGGGAAAATAACAGGAACTTCCCTAATGCTCTTTGGATCACAAGGCTCCTTTCTTCTAGGGTCTGTGGCCAGAAAATGTGTATTTCTCTTGAGGTTTGGGGTCCATTCTGCCACCCTAGTGCAGCGCTATGACGGGACACTCTTGGGAGAGGGCTGGGAAAGATTAAAAAAGTGAAAAACCAAACCAAACAAAAAATCTGAATTCAATCCACATGCTTTGGCTTGCAGGGTCTCTTTTCCTCTGGCCAGAAAAAAAACAATTTCTTTTGTAGTTTTTTCTGTCCACACATGTTGTGCAGTTCCACACAGGGGTCAGCCTGCGGTCTAAGCTGGGTGATGAAAGACGAAAAATACTTGGGATCACTCACCAGCTTTTTCTTTGTGTTTCAGTCTCATTCCCTAATTTGCTTCCTACTGTTAACTTTCCCGAGTCCTCAGATACTTTTTTATGTGTTATCCAGAGCTTTCCGTTGTCTTCAGTAAGAATGTAGGCTGGAAAGAGCTTGCTCCGTATTGTCCAGCATTGGAAGTCTCTTCTTCATTTTTGAAGGTGTTTTGCTGGGTATAGAAATCTGGGTTCATAGTCTTGAAAGATGTCACTTCATTGTCTTCTGGCTTGCATAGTTTCTACTAACAAGTGTGTTGTACTTCTTATCCTTGTTCCTCTGGGTGTAATGTGTCCTTTTTTTTTTTTTTTTTTCTATTTGCCTTCAAGATGTTTTCTTTATCTTTGGTTTTGAGCAGCTGAATATGGTGTTTTCTTTCTAAAAAAAGATTTTTAATCCTGGCTATGGTTTTCTGAACTTGGATGTGTGATGTGGTGTCTTTCATTATTCCTGAAAAAAAATTTGCCATTATTTTAAAAATAATTATTCTCCCTCATTCTCTCTTCTTCTTCTGTTACTCCAATTACACATATGTTAGACCATTTGAGATTACTCCAGGGCTTCTGCTTGCTCTTTTACGTCTGATGTTTTCATTTGTTTGTTTTCCACTTTTTCCTCATGTTTTTTAGCTTGGATAATTTCTGTGGACTTATCTGGAAGCTCACTGCTTCTTTTCTTGGCTGTGTTGAGCCTATTCATGAGCCTGTTGGAGGTGGGCTTCCTCTCTAGCATTTTCACTGGACTCTTTCTTAGCATTTCAATCTCTGTGCTGAAGCTCCTCACCTTGACATTCATATTGTTTACTGTTTCCACTAGAACCTTTAAGATAAATTCCTATCTGACAATCCTTGCATCTGAGTCATATCTGAATCTGGTTCTACTGATTTTTGTCTCCTGGTTGTGATTTTTCTTTTCCCTTTTTTTTTTTTTTTTGTGCCTCATAATTATTTACTGAAAGCCAGCCATTGTATGTGAGACAACAGTATTTCTATCTGGAAATGGACATTCCCCATTAGGTTGCCATCATGGGGGTTTGAGTCAATCAAGCTAGGAGTTGAGCTGGATTTGAGTTTTGCTGTTGCTGTGGTCACCTTGAGGGTAGCATGACCTTGAACTTAGGGTTGAGGATGGTTTGCTGCAGGACTTTTCTCAATGAGCCTGCTCTGCACCTTTAACTTAGGTCTTCTTTGCATGTCTGCCCTTGAGACAGGGCCTGTTGGTGCCCCTCACTCAGGAGGGCTGCTCTTGCTTGTTTCTCTCTGCCCTGGTCCTGCTCAGTCTCAGGCAGGACTCACATCCTTGAGTCTCAGAGTGGAATTTTTTTCAGTAATCCTGTTCCTTCCCTGGAGATGGAAGACCTCTGACGGGCTGAGTGTACATATGTTTCAACCCCTCCCTTAGAGGTGGAATTATTTTCTTGTTGTTTTCCCCAGCCACAACAGGTCCCTAGGTGACAGGATTTTCTGCTCCTCTCTCCCTGGCATCTTAAGGCATCTGTTCCATAGGGAAAAACTGTCTGGTGGGGTTTTTCCCCTACTCCCCGCCACAGTGGTGGCTCCTCCCCTCCCAGGGCCTCTGCCATCACATATTGCTTCCTCTGGCCTCCCACATGCTCCAGCCTTTCCTGTGAGTGCCCAGGGTGTGATGTGTGGAAGAGCCTATAAGCAGGGTGAGCCTCCATTGTGTCTCCAGTTCTTGGGGTTCTGTATTCGCACAGAAGCCCACGCTTGGTCTTAAGCAATTTTCTAATAAGGTTGTCTGAATTCTTCTCGTCCACTTTTACAGCAGCTCCATCTTCCTCCTGTTCCTTGTCAAGGGTGAGCCAATTACCCTGTCTATCCTTGGATTTCAGGTTGATTACATTGCAATTTCAGCTCCCTGGTAGATTTAAGAACAGTGATGATTTTGTAGGTCATTCGGCGTTTCTGTTTTTAGGTTAGGGGCAATGCTCTTCCCAGATTTCTAGATTCTAGGTGGAACCTTACCTTTGTATGATTTTGCCTCAGCTCCCACATCTGTAAAATGGCACGATAATAGTAGCTACCTCCTATCATTAATACATATAAAGATACAGAGGAATGCATTTCACATAAGTGCTACGCATTGTCTTCCATTATTATTTTTATTGTTTATATCTCTTTTAATGAATTTGTTACATTGGTTGATTTTTGCTGTATTGCTTTTCTCCCAGTGGTTTGAAAGCTACTTTTAATTTCCTTCAGATTATCCTAATTTCTTTTTCTTTTTTTTTTTTTTTTTTGTTGAGACAAAGTCTTGCTCTTGTTGCCCAGGCTGGAGTGCAGTAGCACAATCTAGGCTCACTGAAACCTCCACCTCCTGGGTTCAAGAGATTCTCCTGCCTCAGCCTCCTGAGTAGCTGGGATTACAGATGCCTGCCACCATGCCTGGCTAATTTTTGTATTTTTAGTAGAGACAAGGTTTTACCATGTTGGCCAGGTGGGTAAATTTTTTTCTTTATAAACCACTTTTTCATTGAAATGAAACATACATACAGGAAAGTGCATACATAACTTGAGCATTTTTATATGTGTTTAAACTCCCATTATTCTATCAACAAATATTAATATCTTTATCTATGTTTTCACCTTGAACCAGACAAGAACTGTAGTATGCTTGTACTTCCCTTCTTCCTGTCTCCTTCTCCTCCATCTATACCTTACATCTGCTGTGTTACAATCTGCTGGGATTTTAATCCCAGATACCGTATTTTTTTTTTTTTACAGTATGCAGCACAAAGTATTTAGTATTAAAAATGACTTTTGCTGGTTTCTTTGCTCACTTTTCTTTTCCAGCCAGGAAACAATACAGAACTCTCAAAGAACTCATCGATCACACTGTAGTTTAAAACCAGTGATGTTCCTGGAGTTGGGTTCCAGATGTTCCTGGAGTTGGGTTCCAAATGTTCCTGGAGTTGTGCAGTGCACGGTCCACTCAACAGCACACACTGATTCTGCTTGAATGTCCCTGTCATGAGTTCCATCTGCATTTTGCTGCAGTGAATCCATGATGATTCTTTCAGTGAGGATCCGTGGATGGAAAACCCAGTGAATATTTGCATTTCTGAAAATATCTTAAACTTGTCTGTCCTCCCCTTTACCACTTTTTTTTTAATTATTTATTTATTTATTTATTTATTTATTTTTATTGATCATTCTTGAGTGTTTCTCACAGACGGGGATTTGGCAGGGTCATAGGACAATAGTGGAGGGAAGGTCAGCAGATAAACAAGTGAACAAAGGTCTCTGGTTTTCCTAGGCAGAGGACCCTGCAGCCTTCCGCAGTGTTTGTGTCCCTAGGTACTTGAGATTAGGGAGTGGTGATGACTCTTAACGAGCATGCTGCCTTCAAGCATCTGTTTAACAAAGCACATCTTGCACCGCCCTTAATCCATTTAACCCTGAGTGGACACAGCACATGTTTCAGAGAGCACAGGGTTGGGGGTAAGGTCACAGATCAACAGGATCCCAAGGCAGAAGAATTTTTCTTAGTACAGAACAAAATGAAAAGTCTCCCATGTCTACTTCTTTCCACACAGACACGGCAACCATCCGATTTCTCAATCTTTTCCCCACCTTTCCCCCCTTTCTATTCCACAAAACCGCCATTGTCATCATGGCCCGTTCTCAATGAGCTGTTGGGTACACCTCCCAGACGGGGTGGTGGCCGGGCAGAGGGGCTCCTCACTTCCCAGTAGGGGCGGCCGGGCAGAGGCGCCCCTCACCTCCCGGACGAGGCGGCTGGCCGGGCGGGGGGCTGACCCCCCCACCTCCCTCCCAGACGGGGCGGCTGGCCGGGCGGGGGGCTGACCCCCCCACCTCCCTCCCGGATGGGGCGGCTGGCCGGGCGGGGGGCTGACCCCCCCACCTCCCTCCCGGATGGGGCGGCTGGCCGGGCGGGGGGCTGACCCCCCCACCTCCCTCCCGGACGGGGTGGCTGGCCGGGCAGAGGCGCCCCTCACCTCCCAGACGGGGCGGCTGGCCGGGCGGGTGGCTGAACCCCCCAACTCCCTCCCGGACGGAGCGGCTGGCCGGGTAGAGGGGCTCTTCACTTCCCAGTAGGGGCGGCTGGGCAGAGGCGCCCCTCACCTCCCGGACGGGGCGGCTGGCCTGGCGGGGGCTGACCCCCACCTCCCTCCCGGACGGGGTGGCTGCCTGGCGGAGACGCTCCTCACTTCCCAGACGGGGCGGCTGCCGGGCGGAGGGGCTCCTCACTTCTCAGACGGGGCGGTTGCCAGGCGGAGGGTCTCCTCCCTTCTCAGACAGGGCGGCTGGGCAGAGACGCTCCTCACCTCCCAGACGGGGTCGCGGCCGGGCAGAGGCGCTCCTCACATCCCAGACAGGGCGGCGGGGCAAAGGCGCTCCCCACATCTCAGAAGATGGGCGGCCGGGCAGAGACGCTCCTCACTTCCTAGATGGGATGGCGGCCGGGAAGAGGCGCTCCTCACTTCCTAGATGGGATGGCGGCCGGACAGAGACACTCCTCACTTTCCAGACTGGGCAGCCAGGCAGAGGGGCTCCTCACGTCCCAGACGATAGGCGGCCAGGCAGAGACGCTCCTCAATTCCCAGACGGGGTGGCGGCCGGGCAGAGGCTGCACTCTCGGCACTTTGGGAGGCCAAGGCAGGCGGCTGGGAGGTGGAGGTTGTAGCAAGCCGAGATCACGCCACTGCACTCCAGCCTGGGCACCATTGAGCACTGAGTGAACCAGACACCGTCTGCAATCCCGGCACCTCCGGAGGCCGAGGCTGGCGGATCACTTGCGGTTAGGAGCTGGAGGCCAGCCCCGCCAACACAGCGAAACCCCGTCTCCACCAAAAAAATACGAAAACCAGTCAGGCGTGGCGGCGCGGGCCTGCAATCCCAGGCACTCGGCAGGCTGAGGCAGGAGAATCAGGCAGGGAGGTTGCAGTGAGCCGAGATGGCAGCAGTACAGTCCAGCTTCGGCTCGGCATCAGAGGGAGACCGTGGAAAGAGGGGGAGAGGGAGACCGTGGGGAGAGGGAGACCGTGGGGAGAGGGAGAGGGAGAGCGGCAGGCTCTTCTTTATCCTCAGGCTTCAGCTCAGACATCCCTCACCTGCTAGAACCCCCTTTACCACTTTTTAGATACTGCAACAACCCTAGAACACGTTAATTCCTCCTGCCTCGTGCTGTCATTATCACTTCTTCTAATTCCACATCTATTTAGAACTCCAGAAGACATTATTATTGTTGTTCTATGCAGTCATTGTCTATTTAGATTTACCCAGATATGCAGGCTTTTTATTGTTCTTCATTCCTTCCTGTACTTCATACTTCCGTCCAGGGCCACTTTCCCTCTGCTGAAGAAATCCTTTTAGTATTTATTTTAGTGTATGCTTTCTGGCAGTTAATTCTGCAAACCAAAAAGTATCTGAGACAGGTCTCAATCAATTTAGAAGTTTACTTTGCCAAGGTTAAGAACAACTCCTGGGAGAAAAAAGCATGGAATCACAGAAACAGCCTGTGGTCTGTGCCTTTCTCCAAAGATGACTCTGAGGGCTTCAGTATTTAAAGAGGAAAAGTGGGCTAGAGGGGAAAGAGGAAGGGTGTGGTCACATGACTGAATGTACATGGTGCAAGAGAAAAGGAGCCGGTGGGGAGGAGTCAATTGTGTATTCATCTTATGCCCAGCAAATTGGCACTTTCCATAAGAGAAGGTGAACTTAGAGCAGCTACTTGTGGTGATGTTTAACCTTTTATCTCTAGCTATCTGCTTAGGAACTAAAAGAAAGGCAGCTTCTTGCATGACTCAGCTTTCAGCTTAATTTTTTCCTTTTGGCAGAGTGAATTGGGGTCCCAAGTTTTTATTTGCCTTTCACATATCTCTATGATTTGCTTTTTCTGAAATATCTTCATTTCACTTCTGCCTTTATATGATGTTTTCATTTGGTATAAAATTCTATGTAGATAGCTGTTTTCTTTCACCACGTTGAAGATGTTAATTCCATTGTCACCTGGCTTCCATGGTTTTGTCACAAAGTCAGGTGTAAGTCCTTTAGTTTCTCCTTTATATGTCTAGCTTCTATTCTCTTTGTCTTTGGTTTTCAGCAGGTTTAGAATGTAACCACGTGTTTTTTTAATCTATTCTGATTGATGTTGATAGTACATTTGTAATCTGTGTTTTGTTACCTTTGATCAATTTTTTTTTGAGACAGAGTCTTGCTCTGTTGCCCAGGCTAGTGTGCAATGGCGTGATCTCAGCTCACTGCAACTTCCATCTCCTGGGTTCAAGAAATTACAGGTGCCCACCACCATGCCTGGCTAATTTTTTGTATTTTTAGTAGAGATGGGGTTTTGCCATATTGGCCAGGCTGGTCTTAAACTCCTGACCTCCGGTGATCCACCCACCTCCGCCTCCCAAAGTGCTGGGATTACACTGCACCCAGCCTGAATATTTTCTTCTGACCTATCTTTCAGTTCATTAATCATCTCTTTCACTGTGTCTAATCTGTTTCAAACCCATCCATTGAATTTATAACTTCAGCTATTGTTTTTTTAATTTCCATTAAATTGTTTTTTATATACCCCACTTCTCTGCTGAACATTTCCATCTCATAATCTATTTTCTTGAACATATTAATCACATTACCTTAAAGTGTATGATAATGTCAATATCCTGTTGACATGATAATCCCATGGAATTATTCCTACTTTATTTATATATATATTTTTTGGTTTTGGATCATTTGTCTCCTGGTTTTCTTTGTAAACTTTAAATCTGGATATTGTATATGGAAATATTTTAGTTAATTTGAGGCCCTGGATGATGCTATTTACCTCTGCATATTTCCTTTTGCTTTGGGCTGGCTGTGGGAAAGAGAGCAGATCAACTTAGTCTGGGAGTCAGCCCTTTGGAAGCTTGGTTTCAGACTTTGAGAGGGACGATCTACTCACCCCTCAGCCTTCCTCCCCTATTGCAGCCCTCAGTGCTCTCAGCTGAAGGTCTGGGTCACTCATCAGAGTCTCCCTATCTTGTGGGCTGTCACCAATTATTGTCTCCCCAACCCTAGGAGATGCAAAAGCTCTGCTCAGTGTGTCAACTTCTTTCCACTGCATATGTGAGACTGAATTGTGTCCCCCCAGCATTCACATGTTGAAGCCCTGACCTCCAATGTGATTTCATTTGGAGACAGAACCTTTAAAGAGGTGATTAAGGTTAACTGAGGTGATAAGGGTGGGGCCCTAATCCCAGAGGACTGGTGTCTTTGCAAAAGGAGGAAGATACACCAGAGATCTCTCCCTCTCTGCAGACACAGCAGAAAGGCCATTGTGAGAACACGCCAAGTTGGCTGCATACAAGTTGGGAGGAGAGGCTTGACCGGACACCAACCCTGATGGCTCACTGATTTTGGGCTTCCAGTCTCTAGAACTGTCTGGAGGCTGGGAAATAACTATCAATGGTTTAAGCTGCCCAGTCTGTATTATTTATTTATTTTTTTTTGAGACAGAGTTTCACTCTTGTTGCCCAGGCTGCAGTGCAATGGTGCTATCTTGGCTCACCACAACCTCCGCCTCCCAGGTTCAAGCGATTCTCCTGCCTCAGCCTCCCGAGTAGCTGGGATTACAGGCATGCGCCACCATGCCCGGCTGATTTTGTATTTTTAGTAGAGATGGGGTTCCTCCATGTTGTTCAGGCTGGTCTCAAACTCCTGACCTCAGGTGATCTGCCTGGCTCAGCCTCTCAAAGTGCTGGGATTACCGGCGTGAGCCACCGCGTCCGGCCCCCGGTCTGTATGTTTTTATGGAAGTCTAGGCTAACACAGGATACTAATCACCAAGTGCCTCAAAGGAAAAAAACTCTTCCCTTTTCTTTTTGAGGTGGGGGAAGGTCTTTGCCCCTCACAGAAAGACTTCTTTTGGTAGCTGATAGCCTTAAACAGATTTAAAGAATATTTTATACTGATTTTTGGGCTATTTTTGTTGGGTTTGTCTGAGGCAACCAGTCCTCCCTAACTGTAAGTAGAAACGTCTCTGAACGCCTCAGGGATTTCTCCTCACATGCCAAGCATCTGTGTCAGTCTTCTCACTCAGCCATTGGATACTCAGGGGCCCTTTCCATTTATGGAGTCAAATATTTCTTTAGTTCAGAGAAATTTCTTATTTTTACTTTTTCTTTGAGATAGGGTCTTGCCCTGTTGCCCAGGCTGGAGTGCAGTGGTGCGACCTTGGCTCACTGCAGCTTCTGCCTCCTGAGTTCAAGCTGATTCTCCAGCCTCAGGCTTCCAAGGAGCCAGAATTACAGGCACACACAACCACACTCAGCTAATTCTTGTATTTTTAGTAGAGATGGGGTTTCACCATGTTGCTCAGGCTGGTCTCAAACTCCTGACCTCAGGTGATCCGCCTGCCTCAGCCTCCCAAAGTGCTGGGATTACAAGCGTGAGCCACCGTGCCTGGCCTCAGAGATATTTTCTCCAATTCTGTCTTTGATTTTGTCCTGGTTTCCTTTTTTCCACCTTCTCCTGCAGCTCCTGTCAGGTGGACGTAGCCCTTCCTGTACTGATGCCCGGTGTCTCGGCCTTCCAACCTTCCCTCTCTCTTTTCTTTTTTTTTGAAATGGAGTCTCACCCTGTTGCCCAGGCTGGAGTGCAGCGGCACGATCTTAGCTCACTGCAACCTCTGCCTCCTGGGTTTAAGCGATTCTCCTGCCTCAGCCTCCCAAGCAGCTGGGATTACAGGCATGCGCCACCAGGCCCGGCTAATTTTTTTGTGGAGACGGGGTTTCACCATGTTGACCAGGCTGGTCTCGAACTCCTGACCTTGTAATCCACCAGCCTCAGCATCCCAAAGTGCTGGGATTACAGGCATGAGCCACCCAGCCCAGCCCTGACCTTTCCTCTCTTAACTTCTCCATCATGGGAGAGTCCTGTGACTTTGTCTCGCAGTTCTTTGCGTCCTCAGCCAGGACCCCTCTCCTAGTCACATGTGGGTCGAGCTTTCATGTCAGCAATGCTGTTACTCATTTGCCAGTTCCCTGCCTTCTCATGAGTCTTCTTGTTGGGACCATCGCCAGGTGTGGCGACCCTCCGGAGGGGCTCTGGCCATTTGGGTTCTTTACCCTGTGCTCGTGGTAGGCCACGGTTTTTCCTGAGCTCTGGTTCCTCCGTCCATTCGATCCCCTTTGGCTGTGTCCTTCAGAAACCTCTTGGCGTTCGGTCCACCAGCGGTGTCCTTTGTGTCCCCACAGCTGCGACAGAGCCTTTTTGCATCTTTGCTGTCACATGAAGGATTCGGGGCAGGTCACAGTGTGGGAGACAGACACAGCATGAATTGAATTCAGACCACCATTGTCTTATAGCCTGGCTTTTTAAAACCTAATGTCATCTGAGCCTCTTTTTCCCTTATCCATGACTGTAGTCACGCATCACTTCGTGACACAGCAACTGGCGTAATTTCGAGCGGTAACACATTTGGGTTCTGTGTCTCATGATTTCTAAGCTGCGTGTTTCTCACTTCCACAACACTGAAGCGGGCTGCCGTCATCCACAGCCTGCCGGAGTTTAGTGTGTCTGTGCTACCTACGGTCGTGTTGTTTTATGATTAACGGTGTCTTGGAGTCGATAACTCTCTGAACCCTGCCTGCCCTAGGGCACTTCCAGGGCCAGCAATCTGTGGGCTCTGAGGCGCCACGTCCCCTCGGAAGGGGCTGGTTGCGGAGCCCCCTCCCAGGACCGTCTGAGCTGGCCACCCACCTCCACATCCTCTGCTGAGGCCCTGGGCTCCAGGTTCCAGAAGGAAGGGACCACACCTTATGACCTGCCTGGGACTGGGGCTGACTCTCAGACCCTCTCCCCGAAAGACTTCAGCAGCCTTCCCCCTCCTAAGTGGGGGCTCTAGCCAAGAAAGTGAATTTTTGAGTAGAAGACGGTTTGTGAAGTTATGGTCCATGAAGACTTGTCTCCATGGCTTTGCGACGTTGCTCAGTTGGCTGAGCCTTTCCCAGGCAGGACAGAAACGGCTCAGACGCTTAGGTTCAAATCCAGGCCCTGCCATTTCCCAGCTGAGCCTGAAGTGCGGCCTCCCCCGCCTTCGGCCGGGCTCACCATCAGATGAGACCTCCGCCACGCCCCGGCTGGCACCACCCGGGCACTCCTGAGGGACGCAGGGGTGTCCGCCCTCAGGTCCGTTCCATCCGAGGCCCTGGGATCACAGACATGGAGGCCGGGGCGGGCCAGGCACCCCAGGAATGGCGCCCGCAAGTCCGGGGAGGCCGTCCTGCCGGCCCAGCGCGTTTCCCGCGTCCACGAGGTCCCCGTTCCGCCGGCACTGGCGGCGTCCAGCCTGGGTTTGCCCGCGCTCGCCGACGTGGCGGCCTGGCCAAGCTCGGCGCCGCTCACCAGCGCTGACCTGGGGGTGGTTTGACCTCCCAGTGCCTCAGTTTCTTCACAGGTAAAACGGGTCTTCTTGAGGACGGGTGTGGAGGGCCCGGGGCAGCCCCGTAGGAGCGTTGGCCAAAGGAGCCCGGCCTGGGGCTGACAGGAAACCGCGGCGGCAGGGAGGCGGGTGGCGCCCCCAATCGTCTAGGGTGCTGGCCCGATTCGCGCGGCCCCCGCGGACGGGACCCCGCGGGCCGCCTTCTCCGCTCTGTCCGCGGCTCCTGAGAGGGAACGTCACCCCCAGCGTCCTCCCTCCTCCGCCCCAGGTCCCTGCGGCCATGGGCGGCGGCCCCGGCCTCACTTCCCGGCGCCCCAGGAACGCGGCCCCCAGGAAAGGAGTCGGGGCCCGGGCGACGCGGGGAGGCGGGCAAGGGTCCCCAGGGCCCGGGCTCCCCGTAAACGCTCCTGGCCCGCGCCCCACAGCGCCCTAGGGCTTCCGCGCCCGACGGGGTCGCGCGGGACCCGCCCCGTGACGCATCTCCAACCGCCCAGAGCCGCGGCCCGGCCTGCGCGCGCCCGACGCCCCGGGGAGCGCGCCTCGTGAACGCGCGCAGCCACGTGACCCCCGTGCCGGCCAACGGGTGCGCCGGGATTTGGGGGATAAAGCGCGGCCCCGCGCACAGTTGCGGCGGGAGAGCGGCGGGGCCGAGAGCGTGACTCGCCCGCTCCGCGCTGCTTCCCCCGCGCCGCCTCCCCGCGCCGCTCGCGCAGCCATGTCCGAGGAGAAGCCCAAGGTAAGCGCGGCGACCCCGCCTGCACGCGCGTCTATCGCGGGCGTCCCGCCCCCAGCCCGGCTCCGCCCCCACCCCGACTCCGCCCCGCGTCCCGCCCCTGACAGGCTCCGCCCCTCCCCGCCCTCTAGAGCCCCGCCCCTAAGTGGGCCCGCCCAAGGTGCGCCCCCTCTGCCCCCGCGAAGCGCGCTGTGCCGCGAGCTCCGCCCCCTCCGGGCCTGGCCACGCCTCCGCTCCACGCCCGTCTCCTCCCCAGCTGGGAAGGCGCGCGCCCAGCGCCTCCTTGAGCGCCCGGTGTCGGGCCCCGCGCTGCTGCTCCTGCAGAGCGCGGCGCCCTCGGATCCCGCCCCAGCAGTGTCCCCGAAGCGTCTTTGCGTGCTCCTCTCCTGAGTCATTGCTGGTTGGGGTCGCCCTCTCCCCCGGCATCGCCCTGGGTGCGGGATCCTGTGTCGAGTGCACGGAGTCGGCTCGGGAACAAGCGTCTGGGGTTACCCCCAAGGGGCGCGCTCTGAGGGGCCTGGCCCCTGTGAGCAGCACTGCCGTCCTTCCAGGGCGCCCATCGCGACCCCGGTATTCACCCACTTCTCCGCATCGTGTCCCGGCCATCGCGTCCCCCAGTGTGCGCCCACCCCTCTCCTTCGTGTCTCCCCAATCGTGCCCTCAGTGTGCACCTACTCCCACCCATCGCGCCCCGTGTGCACCCACCGCCTCCATCGCGTCCCCCGGTGTGCGCCCACCCCTCCCCATCGCGCCCCCCGGTGTACGCCCACGCCTCCCCATCACGCCCCCCATGGTGTGTACCCACTCCTCCCCATCATGCCACCTGGTGTGCGCCCACCCGTCCCCATCATCGCGTCCCTGGTGTGCGCCCACCCCTCCCTATTGCGTCGCCCTCTCCATCACACCCCCAGTGTGTGCTCACCCCTCCCCGTCGCGTCCCCCAGTGTGCGCCCACCCCTATCCATCGCGTCCCCCTTTCCATCACACCCCCAGTGTGCGTCCACCCCTCCCCATCACCCCCTCCACGATGTGCGCCCACCCCTCCCCATCACGCCCCCTATAGTGTGTGCCCACCCCTCCCTATCACGCCCCACGGTGTGCGCCCACTTCTCTGCATTGCGCCTCCCCCACCATGCGCGCCCACCCCTCCTTATCCAGCCTTGGGTGGGCTTTAGTCTCCCCCATTGCCATGCTGGGGTGTGCCTCCCTCCAGTCTCAGTCCTGGGGTATGCACCCTGCATTCAGGTGCACTGGCCATTCCTTCTCGGGAGGGTCTGTAGTCGCATTCTCCAGTGTTCATAAAAAGAGAACCTTTCCGAAGCCCTTGGTGTGCACTGTCGGCCTCTATGTTACATCCCAGTGGAAGATGACTAGAGCTGAAGGCTCTGTAAAGAGGCTGTCTCTGATACTGGCCTGGTCCTGGAGGTGACCACCCTCCCTTTACAGATGAGGGTGGAGGCTCAGTGCCAGACACTGGCGGGAAGTGGGATGGAACCGTCAGGAACCATGGTCGCGGCCTCTATGGAAGTCTGCACTCTGCTTGCTGTGGTCAGACTCCAGGGAAACCTGCCCTATCCAGATGGCATTTGGGGTGACCTTTGCTTTTTACATTTTGACTCCAGTGAAGTCAAAGTTCTCCCACTCTGGGGTTGTTTGAATATTTAAATACTTGTTAAAACTAGGTCAAATATAAATGTCCTTTATGTTTTTGTAGGTGGCTTCCTCTTAATGAAGAGTAAATGTAATAAAATACATATGATATTAATTTTCTCAGCAGTATTTACACTTAGCTCTGCCATGTGGTCAATCTCAGGCTCCAGTTCCGTTGAAAACACTTGTTTAATTCCAGAATGACTGAGTGGCTGCCACCTCACAGGCCCCGCTTCTGGTGGGTCCCCTCTGAGCCCATGTGGGAGCAGCTCTGCCCTCTGGGGCTCTGACGAAGGGGAAGAGGTGGACTCTGGGGCCCGGTGGTGCTGGAAAGAAGAGCTTTTAGGTCAGGCAGGAGAATGGTTCTGACTTCCCTGGATAGCTGAGGTGGAGGATTGACTGTAGCAAACTGAGGCCCATGTTTTTAGGGCTTCACTTTTTAACTCACGAGTTCACTTGCTTATTAGGAATTCACCAGGGGTCTGGGACAGATCGTCATTCTGTTTGGAGCAGAGGCACTGTGGCCGGCCCTGCCCTGCCCCAGCCTCTCCCGGGGCTGCAGCCATTCCCCCCGGGGCTGCAGCCATTACCCTGTGGGGGACGTCTGGGCCCTGCATCTGTGCCTTTGAACACACTCATACCTTCCTTCCCTAAAGAAGCCAGTGCATCCTCATGCTTGGGGAAGTGAAGGGGGCTCATGCAGGGGTCCCCACTTCCATCCTGCCTGGAGCTGTTTGCATGCTCTTCCTTCCTAGGCCAGTTGTCTCTGTGCTGGAGGCCACATTCGGGATGGGGAGATGGGGGTGTGCCAGCTCACCACTCAGGCTGCCGCCAAGCCACTGGCATCCCGGGAGTGGGCAGGGGTGTCTGGCCCAAGACTGGAGTCGGGGGGTGAGTGCCGCCCCAGGACACGCACCTTCAGGCTCGCAGCTGGAGCCCCTCACTGCCAAGGCCCCTTGCAGGCCACTCTAGCTCCCTTGACAGAGCACCATGCCTCCCCAGGGTCTCCCCAGGGTGCATACCCCAGGGAAGCAAGCATGGGTGCAGTCCCTGGGTTCACCCTCAGGCGAGCCTTCTACATCCCACTCCCTGTATTTAGGCATCGCTGGGACAGTTGTCCCTCTCCCAGCCAGGGAAGGAAAGGAGAAGTGGAGAGAACAGGCGTGTGATGTACAGTGCTTCCTGAGGGCAGCAGCTCAGCATGGGGTGAAAGGGTACCAGGACGCCCCAGACTTGACTTTCAGAGTGAGCCGGAGGGCCCTGCCTCATTGCTTCACTCACAAACGACTTTATCCCAGCAGTGCAGGCCGGCAGAGGGGTGCCCCACTTTTCGGCTCAGACTGAGCTGCCCCGAAGTTGGCTCCCAGTCTCTTGACATCAGCTTTTTGCCTCAACTCAAAATGCATTTTCAGGCAACAAGACACCCCGATTGTGCCATTGTTGAGTAGCTTCAAGTATGGCATGAATTAAAAAATAAAATAGTACCACCTACTGCCGCTCAGATAGGACAGTTTGAAACCAGAAAGTACTCGGAGGTGGCTTCCCTCACATTTGCTGATGTCAGGGCAGCGAGAAGGAGCCTGGCCGCCTGCTGTGGGGAGTGGCCGTCCTCAGTTGGATTCCCGAAATCACCACTTGAATGTCCCATAGGGTTCCTCTGAGTCACAAATGTTTTCTTCTGTTTTTGGTTTCTTTTACTAGTGCTGTATAGCTGCATGACTTTTGGATATGTGTTTTTACTGGTTTCATAAGAATTTTTTAAAAAAGAGATGGGGTCTTGCTCTGTTGCCCAGACTGGTCTCAAACTCCTGGGCTTACGCCATCCTCCCACGTCAACTCCCAAAGTACTGGGATAACAGGTGTGAGCCACTGTGCCCAGCCCACAAGAATAACTTTAAAATAAAGATGGATTTTCTCTTATTTTTCCCTAGACTTTGTTTTTTTCTTTGAATTAACAATGTCAGAGGACCCTAGGCTTGCATTGTTTTACACATGGATGCTTAACAAGTGGAAGTTAAAAATAAATTCTGTGTAAAAATAAAACCATCACGAGTGACTCTGAATTGCTGGAGAATTTTAAGAATTAGGTTGGTTTTGATGACTTTAAAAAGCCAACAATTACCTAAAGACTTGCCCATTCAAGTCGCGGTTATTTTGAGACACAGTTTTGAGGCCAGTCTCTGGTGTCTTCTGCAGGAGGGTGTGAAGACAGAGAATGACCACATCAACCTGAAGGTGGCCGGGCAGGACGGCTCCGTGGTGCAGTTCAAGATCAAGAGGCACACGCCGCTGAGCAAGCTGATGAAGGCCTACTGCGAGAGGCAGGTGCGGCACCTTGCTCCCCCGCAGAGCCTCCCCGTGTGCGCACTGGTCCTGTGCGTTCCAGGCATCCCCAGAGCACGAGCGTCTCGGGGCTGGACCCAGATGCAGCTGCCCGAGGTGCCCTCTTCGTGGATGGGCAGGCGGGGGCTTGTGCTGTAAAATTAGTCCAGGCTGGGCTTGTCCCCCATGGCCTTTTATAAGGTGGAGGGACCTAGAGGCTCGGAGAAGTGTGGTGGGTTTTTCTTCCTGACAGGGCGGCTGCCCGGGGTGCTGTGTTCTCCATGGGGTACTAACATCTGTGAAGTCTGTGATGCTGAAGGCTCTTGGGGGCCCTGCTCAGGTCTGGCCATTCTGGGGCTGCAGGTGGCGTGTGCCCCACGCCGCTGTCACCCTGTCCTCGCGTATGAGCTGGCCTGACCCTGGAGAGACACTGCCCTCATGTGCGGTGTGGTTTTCCATTTTGTTAGGAAAGGCAAGAAAGCGCGTGATTCTTTCCCCTTCTTCCCCAGTTTCAGGATAATGAGCTGCCCCACTGGCAGTGCCCAGCTGGGTGGATGCCTTCTGGCTGCTGTTTGTGACGTGGTGTGTGTGTGTCTGTTGTTCTTGGTAACGCTGTGGCGGACTCACCCTGGGCCAGGGGGTCCCTCTCTAGGCCACTTTTATGGGCTTTGCCCACCAGCTGCTGCCTGGTGTGTTGGGGGCCCGGCCCTGCAGCCAGGCGCCCTTCCCCAGGGAGCCCTGCTTGCCTGAGTGGGACCTAGAGGCTGCTTTTCTTCAGCCGCTTTGAAAATACAGCAACTCGTTGCCCTTTTATTTTACTCTTTTGCCTGTGGATTTTCAGTTAGATTTCCTCCTCTTTCCCTCCCACTTTGGATACCCTGCTCATAGGGGCAGTCACTGGCGACTGCCTTGCATTCTTTATTGGCAAGCAGCCCCTGACTTCCTTTCTTTGTGTTTGCTGAGGGCAGATCTTATTTTCACCTGCGAAAGGTGAGACTGAGCTTCCAGACACGCAGGTCCCGGTCTTCCCAGCAGAGTGAGTGGCCTGGCGCCGTGTAGGCCCCGTGATCCAGCCTCTGCCTGATGCTGGGCCCTGGCCCTTGCTGGAGTTTGTACTGCCTGGGCTCGTGGCCACTGTGTGTGTGACTTCCCGGGTGCCCATGTTCTCCTCTGCGCTGCGGGATGGCAGGCGTGTGGGGCCGTGTACATGTGGGGGGGGCTCTGCCCTTCCCCCTGCTCTCCCGGAGCTCCCCTCCTGCCCCACCTGCACTGCTGCTTGTGAGGCTGGCTGCTCAGCCGTGGTCCAGGGCCTCCTGTTCAAATCCTTCTAGAAACTTGGGTTCTCTCTTGGGTGTTTCCTGGATTAGTCCTCCTCCCTTTTGTGTTTTGTGGTGGAGCACATCCTCCAGGGTCTTGTCAGAACGGGCACAGAAGGGCAGCGTCTTTGAGACACTGCATGGCTGAACGTGACTTTTGCTTTTATAAACCTTCACACTTCAGTATGTGGCTGCACGTAATATTCTCGGTTGAAACTTTTTTTTCTTTTTTATTTCAGAGGTCAGCCATGAGAATAGCTCCCAATGTTAAAAGTGAAAAGTTCACCAGGCATGGTGGCTTATGCCTGTAATCCCAGCACTTTGGGAGGCTGATGTGGGAGGATCACTTGAGGTCAGGAATTCAAGACTTGAGGTCAGGAGTTCAGTGCCAAGCCTGGGCAACACAGGGAGACCCTGTCTCTACGAAACATTAAAAAAATTAGCCAGGTGTGGTGGTGCAAGCCTATAGTCCCAGCTACTCAGGAGGCTGAGGTGGGAGGATTGTTTGAGCCCAGGAGGTGGAGGCTGCAGGGAGCTGAGGTCATATCACTGCTCCAGCCTGGGTGACAGAGCAAGACCCTGTCTCAAAAAAAAAAAAAAAAAAAAAAAGGTGAGAAGTTCAGTGGATTCTGATTCTCTGTGCTTTGTTTGTAACTTGGTTTTTCCCTGGAAGTATCTGGGACCATATTCTGGCATTCAGTGTTTCCTTATGTGCCTCAGAGGTGGGTGATTTTCTCACTCATGCTGCTGGGCACTTTATGGGTCTGGACGTTTATTTTTATTCAGGAAATATGCCTTATGTTAGTTCTCTGATAATTTGTATCCTTCTCCAGACTCTGTTCCCTCTTTTTGGAGTTCCTGTTCCTCCTGCTGCTCATTGTCCTAGATATTTTAAATTTGATAATTTTTCTCCCATTTTGCTTTGGGCTTTATTGTTGCATTTGGGCTTCTTTCCGGGAGGTCATTTCAACTTTATCTTTCCACTTCCTGTGGACATTCTCATCTCTGTCATGATTTTTAATTTCCAAAAGTTCTTTTTTCTTTCTGTTCTTTGAGTGTTCTTTTTTTCTCAGTAGCAACTTATTTTTTTTGAGACAGGGTCTCACTCTGTCCCCCAAGCTGGAGCGCAGTGGTGTGATCATGGTTCACTGCAGCCTTGAGCCCTGGGGCTCAAGTGATCCTCCCACCTCAGCCTCCCGAGTAGGTGGGACTCCAGGTACACGCCACCACGCCTGGCTCATTTTTTTATTTTGTGGAGATGGGGTCTCCTTATGTGGTCCAGGCTGGTCTGGAATTCCTGGGCTTAAGTGATCCTTCTGCCTCGGTCTCCCAAAGTGCTGGGATTACAGGTGTGAGCCACCGCACCCATCCTCAGTAGCAATTGATTGTTTTCTGAAGGTAGTAGTATTTTTTACTTCCCATAGAATTTGAATCGTGAGTGTAGGTGTGTGTGGTGTGTATGTCCGTGTCTTTGTGCATGTGTGTGTATGTGTGGGTGTGTGCCTGTGTGTGTATGTGTGGGTGTGTGCCTGTGTGTATATGTGGGTGTGTGCATGTGTGTGTATGTGGGTGTGTGCATGTGTGCATTCGTGTGTGTGTATGTGTGGGTGTGTGCGTGTGTGTATGTGGGTGTGTGCGTGTGTGCATATGTGGGTGTGTGCATGTGTGGGTGTGTGCATGGGTGTGTGCATGGGTGTGCATGTGTGGGTGTGTGCATGTGTGTGGGTGTGGGCATGTGTGGGTGTGGGCATGTGTGTGCCTGTGTTGGGAGTGTTCTCCTGCCTCCTTCCTGTCCGTTCTCCTCTGCGCTCCTCCCCTCCTCTCTAGGCTGCTGCACAGTGAGCCTTTCCCTGACTGCTCTCACGCAGGCTGACTTCTGTGCAAGCATGGAGCACCGAGAAGCTGCTGAAAAGCTGTGTACATGGATGGCTGTGCTGCCAGGGCTGTGCATCCACATGGGGTGATCTGTCTGGATTGCAGGTTCTGGAGGCGCCCAGATGCTACAGTTTGAGAGTTGAGTCCTCCAGGCTCCGGCCAGCCTCCTGGAGGCGCATCTGGAGGGGAGAGGGGACTTGGCGCACAGTGTTGAGGGCACGCGCTTTCGTGGGCCTGTTTCCGCCCTGCGCCTGGAGCTCCGCACCCACCTTCTCAGAAAGCACATCTCATGTGTGCTGCCGTGGGAGGCACAGGGTTGTGGGGGTCCTGCCTGAGGGGTCTGCATGTGAACTTCCAGGCAGCTGTTCAGAATCAGCTGCCTGCCACAGCTCTGCCTCACAGGTTGGGGCGTGCCCAGTCCCTCCGCCCTAGGATCCTGGTCCAGTGTCCATCAGACCACCAGTGTCCACGCCTCAGTAGCCTCTGGCTCAGCCCAGCATTGACATATCTGCCCATCCCCACTCCCGTTTTCTTTGTCCTTCCTGTTTGTGCCTTTTTCATTTACTTCATTTCAGTGGGGTTTCAGGAGGGAGCAGAGATGCACGTTTTAACCCCGTCTGTCCTGTTTCAGTTAAATCAAAACTGCTCGTTGAGGAAATGTTTCTGCCCCTGACCACATTTCTCCATTCCCTCAGGACGCAGAAAGGCTGCGTGCTCTCCTTCCTGCTGCCCTCCTCAAGGCCAAAGTCATGGTGGTAACTGCTCCCCGGCCTCATGCAGCCTTCTTATCTGTCCCTCATTGGCACACAACCTGTTCCTTGCTGAGAACTTTGTAAAGGGGGGAAGTAGTGGTGCCAGCATTGTAGAAGTTCTACTCGGCTTCTGGAAAGATGGGAGGGATGACCCAGGACAGGTCAGGGCACCAGGACAGAGAAGATTCAGTGTTTGAATTGACCATTCCACACGGCCACTGCACTGAGAAACTTTGATTGAAAAGCTAGCCACTGGAAGGTTAGTATTCACCTGGCGGCTCATTTCCCCTCCCCTGGCACATCACCAATGCTAGTCCAGCTTTTCTCCTGCTCCTCAGAGACCTCCTGGCTGACAGCTGTCTGAGCTAGCGTCACTGTGACGTGTTACGCTTCCTCACCTGGGTTTCGTATGTAAAGAAAGGGTGGATTTTAGAGGTACATGAGTTTGGATGTTAGTCTAGGACGTCTCTTGTGTTCTGGTGTTTGAATGTAAGTCGGCTTTCCTTCTGCCATGGACCACTTACCTATCTGCTTTGAAACTGAACTGCCACTGGTTTGGCTTTAAGAAGTTCCCAGTATGCAATGGTGTAACAAAACCTGGGTTGAAAATGAGCCGTTTTAGCTCATCAGAGAGAAGATGGTAGAAGAGTGGGTTCTGAAAGCAGTGGTGTCAGGCACCGCGTGAAAGAGATTGTAGGCCCACTGGTGAGTTTTTAATACTGAGCTGGATCATAAATCTGCATATCAGAATGCTGATACTTGGATTAAAATATTTGGTTTTTGAATTAAGCCGTATCTGGAAATGTTTAATGGCCACTGCTTTTCCTCTCCAGGGCTTGTCAGTGAGACTAATGGCCACTGCTTTTCCTTTCCAGGGCTTGCCAGTGAGACTAATGGCCACTGCTTTTCCTTTCCAGGGCTTGTCAATGAGGCAGATCAGATTCAGGTTCGACGGGCAGCCAATCAATGAAACTGACACTCCAGCACAGGTACGGAGCTGGCTTCGCGTGGTTCCAGGGCGACTTCCGATTTGTGCGGGGTAACTGCCATTTGGGATACGCTTATTTGAGAATTGTAGGTGGGAGCTCATACAGAATGCCTTAATGATATTGATTATTAGATTATTTATTTTTCACATTTTAAATTTAAATTTTCAAATGAGAAAACTGCTTTGCAGACATCATTCTTGCTGTTTGGAGATGGAGCCAAGTGCTGGGCCCGTCCTCACTGTAAGGGAAGCGGGGGTGCAAGGACCACTCAGCGGCCCCTTCCCACTCATTGTCTGGACGCTTGCTGTTGTAGCCCGTGTGCAGCTTAGGGGCCAGCTGGATTCTTGTGCCCTTTAAGCATCTTGCACAAGTGACGTGGGTGGGCAGAATGTGCCATAACCCCTGATTATCAGTCTGCACAGCTCGTTTCTCTCAGGCACATGCAGACATGAATGAGATTTCATCTATCACGTTGCAGGGCATCATACTGTCATGGAAAGAGCTTTGGACCTGGAAACAGACTTTTTTTTTTGAGACGGAGTCTCGCTTTGTTGCCCAGGCTAGAATGCAGTGGCGCAGTCTCAGCTCACTGTGCAAGCTCTGCCTCCTGAGTTCACGCCATTCTCCTGCCTCAGCCTCCCAAGTAGCTGGGACTATAGGTGCCCACCACCACTCCCGGCTAATTTTTTTGTATTTTTAGTAGAGACGGGGTTTCACCATGTTAGCCAGGATGGTCTCGATCTCCTGACCTTGTGATCTGCCCACCTCAGCCCCCCAAAGTGCTGGGATTAAAGGCATGAGCCAACGCGCCCGGCCGAAACAGAGTTTTTTTTTAAACTTGGTTCAAGTTGCAGCTCTTGTCATTTGTCAGCTGATGGCCCCGTGACCAAGCATCACTTCATCTTGTGGAGTCTCAGTTTTGTCTGTCCATAAATGGAACCAATACCTGCTTTTTCTCCCTTTCAATGTTGTGAGAATCCACTGGAATGTTTTATGTGGAAATATTTTTGCAAAACATTTAAGATTTTAAATATTTACTATTCAGTATTTAATAAATATTGAAAACATCTTTGCAACAAGTATCCATTTGTACCTACTTGAGGAAACCTACACACCGCTGAGGCAGTGGCAGCTCTGGGAGTGTTCACCAGGGAGAAGCTGCTGAGAGCAGCTGAGCAGGGAGGGCCTCGTGGAGTCTCTGGGGCTTGACTGGGGGTCAGGGGGCTGGCTGTGGACAGGTGGACCGAGAGGCAGAGGGAGCCCTGCCTGGGGGCTCTCCCTCCAGCCCATAGTGTCGGTGGCAGGGTGAGGGTGGCCGACAGCCCTGATGGGACTCCTTTCCATCTGGGAGCATGACTACTTCCAGCCTTGCTGAGTCTGTGTAGGAACTGGCAGAAGCTTCCTCTTGCTTAGAGGATGGAAGAAGATCAGGGTGGGTGTTTTGCGCCCACTGTGTCAGGAGGAGAGAAGTGAGCGGGGGTGTTTCACTACCTTGCCTGGGCTTTAAATGGGGAGGGGCGGGGAGAAGCTGGCAATGGACCCTCACTTGACGGGCCCTTCTGTGAGCTGGGGGCTTTGGCTTTCATGGCATGGTCCCCCGCACTTGGTATAAAGCGCAAGGCTCCTGTGGGTCCTAGGACTCAGTGCTGCTAATCAGATGTTCTTAATTAGAATCTGATTTTGTGTAATTTTCAGTAAGAATTTTAGACATTTCAGTTTATCTTCTAGACTCAGTTTTTCTCTCAGTTAACATTTTAGCTTTGAATCTGCTTTTGTGAGTTTTGTTAGGGGAAGCTTGTTGAACCGTAAGGGCTGTAGTGAGCATACAGCAATGCCTCTTCCATGCGTGCTGAGCTGCAGTGAGGGGACGGACAAGAGCCAAGGTGTGACCAGGTGATGTCGCTAGTGTCAGGGAACACTCATGCCAGTGAGGATCTTCCCACTCTCTGATGAAAACTAACAGGCTCCCCTCTCTCTCGCTGTGCCTGTTGTGACAACCATGACAGCTGGAGATGGAGGACGAGGACACCATCGACGTGTTCCAGCAGCAGACGGGAGGTGTGCCGGAGAGCAGCCTGGCAGGGCACAGTTTCTAGAGGGCCCGTCCCCAGCCCGGGCCGTCCATCCTCGCATTGCTGTTGAATGGTGAGCACGTGACCATGCCGACCACAAAGGTGTCTGCGGAAACTCGAGGACATTCACCACGATGATTTTCCTCTCTTTGATGTACTTCAAGTGCAACTCAAAACTATATCTGCAGGGATGAATCTGTAACTTAAATTGGGCCAATCAGAATTGTTATCTTTGTTCAGGTAAAATGAGTTGCAAGATATTGTGGGTACTTTTGTGTGCTCATTTGTGTTTTCCCCCCCTCCTACAACATTTTTTTAACCCCAAAATTATAGCCTGAATGTTCGCTTTTAGTCTGGCCAGGGATCTGACTCCTGAGTTGGTTGCCTCTCCCCTGCTCACTCCAGTCACATAGAGAATTGGTGTTTCCCGCAGTGGGGATGCAGCTGTTGGACAGGTATTGGGGGCAAGGTTGGTAGGGAGGACAGACTGTCACTTGCTGTTACAGGCACAGGTGATTAAAATGCTAAATATTGCAAATTTAAGCTTTGTCAGTATATGGAAAAGTTGAAGGGAAAATACTGGAATGCTTCTTCAAAGGTTAAAAAATAACCGAGTCTTTTGGTAATTTGACCCCACGTGCTCTCTGGCCCTCAAGCATGTAACCTCGGGGTCTGAGGCCCAGGACCCACCCCCCTGCCACCCCTCCCACCCCACTCCCTGCTCAGTACCTGGCGTTGGTACACAGGCAAGGATTGGCACAACCAAAATTGGCCTTTTTCTCCCTCTTAATATTGAAGAAATTCCCACATTTCTCATTTGGTAATGGTGTTGTGGCCTCAGATTTCTTCTAGTATTTGCTTCTGATGAATGATTATGGTCTATACATAAAAAAGTAAGACTAAGTATTGCTGAATTTGCAGTTATGTTGTCGTGTATAAGAGCTACTTCCAAGTGTGGTTACAAATGAACCCATGGAATGATGACTTCATGTTCTTCTCGTGGGTTTGTGCCGTGCTGCTTTCCAAATAGGTATTGAATTTATGCATTAGTCTGGTGATTTCAGTTCTGTGAAATATTTTGGGATCTATACCAATTAAACATTTTCATAGTTCTGCCTATTGTCCTTCCCTGAGGCTCCATTGCTGCTTGGTGGCCATTCTCTGCCTTTTTACAGTCACCTGAACAATGACCCATCATCTCTTGCTTGCTTGAAATCTTGCTGAAATGTTCTCATTTCCTGTTTGCTGTATGGGCTCGGGTGGGATGTTTGTTGGCTCTGTTGTGTTTATTCACCAATTTGTACATTATTTGTTGTCCTTTACTACTGTAAACAGTAAATATAGTTTGGTATTCTGTCTCTTGGCTTCTACTAAACACTGCATTTGAAGGTTGGGGCATACTGGTACAATTCAGTGTTTGAATTGACCATTCCAGGCAGCCACTGCACTGAGAAACTTTGATTGAAAAGCTAGCCGCTGGAAGGTTAGTATTCGCCTGGCAGCTCATTTCCCCTCCCCTGGCACATCACCAATGCTAGTCCAGCCTTCTTCCTGCTGAGGGATGCATCCTCTCCTCAGAGACCTCCTGGCTGACAGCTGTCTGAGCTGGCATCACTGTGACATGTTACCCTCCCTCTCCTGGGTTTCGTATGTAAAGAAAGGGTGGATTTTAGAGGCAGGTGAGCTTGGGTGTTAGTCTAGGACATCTCTCGTTTTCTGGTGTTTGAATGTAAGTCAGCTTTCCTTCTGCCATGGACAACTTACCTATCTGCTTTGAAACTGAACTGACATTGATTTGGCTTTAAGAATTTCCCAGTGTGCAGTGGTGTAACAAAACCCAGGTTGAAAATGAGCTGTTTTAGCCCATCAGTTGAATGAACCCAAGGTGAAGAAAGATGGGCAGCTGTGGAGATGGAACACGTGATTCACTTGCACCAGGAAGAGTGCACGGATTAAGGCACAATACAGGATGGGGACATCTGCCAGATTCCCTAGGCAGCCTGGGGCGAAGCGGCTGCCAAAATCAATGAGGAAAGGGATGTGTCCCAGGCACCGTAGGTTAGATAAGAATAATGGCCAGGAGCATATGTGGATGTATTAGGGCAGCGCTGCTTGAACTTCCACCCACAACACCTCACAGCAGAACCAGCAGGATGTCCTGTCTTTCTAAAAAAGATTTGTAGAGATGGAGCTCTCACTATATTGCTGTATTAGTGCATCCTCACATTACTATAAAGAACTACCTGAGACTGGGTAATTTATAAAGAAAAGAGGTTTAATTGACTCATAGTTCTGTAGGCTGTACAGGAAGCATGGCTAGGGAGGCCTCAGGAAACTTATAATCATGGCAGAAGAGGAAGGGCATGGACACAAATCCAAACCATAAATCAGTTGCCCAAGCTGATCTCAGACTCCTGGCCTCAAGTGATCCTCGTGCCTCAGCCTGCCAAGTAGTTGGGATTACAGGCATGAGCCATGGTGCCCAGCAAAGGTATGTTCTTGAAGTTGTCTTTTTTCTGAGATTTATGCAAATGGTGCATTTGGAAAAATAGATCTGTTGGGATTACTATTTTCAACAAGATTACTTATGTGAAACTGACTCCAAGAATCTTTGGGTTAAATTGATGCTCCTGGAGGAGAGAGGCCCTATTTATCCTAGTATCTATGCCTGGGGTCCCAACTGGAACTTCTCCAGTTTTTGCACCGAAAGGTTCACATCCCAGGAACCCCCACTCCCAGGGAACTTGAGTTGTCATCTTAGCCATGCTGCAGGAGTGCCCAGCTGGAAACGCGTGATGTTCATGGGAAAACCCCACCGTATAACATGGGTTAAGCTGTGAGGTCCTTTTTATATTTCAGAACTTTAGTTGCTAAAGATAGAAAGCATTAATTTTATTCTGTACAGTTGGCCTCCCCAGGGTGTGCTGCCCTGCAGTATCACACACTGGCTGCTCAGAGTCCCTGGGACTCCACTACCACTTGATCCAAGTTGAGAGTTCCACGAGTTAGCCAGTTAAAACATAGGATGCCCAGCTAAGCTTGAATTCCACATAAGGTACTGAACGACGTCCCTGAAATGTTGCAGAGAGCCTGGTTCTCTGAAGATAAGGTGTTGTAACAGTCCTGTTGAGGGGAGAGACTGCCATCTTGTTTCAGCAACTCATATTTCAAGTGACTTTTGTCACTTGAAGCTGAAGCTAATCCTGATAGAAGCTGTAAACCACATTTCTGAAAAATAATAATTGGAAAACATACAGTGTTCTGCAGTAAGATGTCTGAAAAAGATGGATAAAATTATGAAAACATCAAGCATATGTTGCAGTGAACATCACGGCATTGACAGTAATGCTTTATTGCCCACATCTCCCATAACTGGAAAAGGGGAGCTGCTCTCCTTTAGGAGCACTGGACAGACTGCCTTGGGGTGTGGGGTGCTGTCTGATTAGAGAGAGAGCAGCTCTTGAATGGGGGAGGAAACACCTCCACTGTGACTTTTTGCACATTGCATTTGCACAAATTACTCTCTGAAACAGTCTCAAAGGACCATGTCATTTTATAAAGCACTGTGGTCATTTGAAAAGATGGAGGTAGACTGAAATTTTGAATTTTGGGGAATTTTCCTACACTATGCATACTTGTGAAGTTTGTATTGTTAAATTTCATTTGATTTGACAAATCCGTGTTAAGAGTATACGATGTCCAGGTACAGAGGCTGCCCCAGAAACAAGACAGAAGTAGGCAGGGACCCATGGCTCTCATGGAACACGCTTTTGGTTAGAGGCAACAGATAAGGGTAATACATTTATAGCATGCCAGTAAGTTCTATAGTACGGTGTGTTGAGTAGGTGTTGCAGAGAAAAAGGTATGCGGTGAAGGCCGGGTGGTGACGGCCTAGGCCACACTGAAGAGGCAACATTTGAGCAAAGACTGAAAGAGCAGGTGGGAAGAGTCGGGGACAAGAGCCGCCAGAAAGTGTTTCCGGGGAGGGAAGAGTCAGGGACTCTGAACCAGGCCAGGGCAGCTGGAGTGGAGTGAGAGGGAGGGAGGGTCTGGGAGTATGGCGGGGTGACCGGAGGCAGAGCAAAGCACTGCAGGACTTCAGCTTTACTGAGTGAAATGGGCGGAGCAGAGTGTGAATGTGATCAGACTTCTTTTCAAGGGATCATCTGCAATGCTGGAAAGGAAAAGACAAATGATAGATTATTGCAACAAACAGCCAGGCAAGAGATGCAAACTTTTTTTGCAAAGGTGTGTGTGTATATACATCCTTGCACCGGACAGCCACGAAGCACCTACTGTGCTGTGAAGTCAGTAAGGATGTGGGTTAAAATCGCTCACCTCACAGCGGGTCAATCGGGAAAGCACACCCACTCACTACAGCCATTATGGGAAAAAGGGCTCGCCCCTTACAGGATCCTCAACTGTGGAGAGGCCGGGAGCCCACGCGGGGCGCTGGGGAGTCTCTCAGCACCCCAGGGGTTCGGGCAGGGACCTGAGCCGCGCCCTCTCTCCCGGGGGTGCCCTGGGGTCGAGGCTGCTCGGCAGAGCCGGCGGTCAGTTCGAGCCGCGGGCCCGAACAGGGCTCTCCCCGCGGCTCTCTCCCTCGGAGTAGAAGGTGCTGGACCCGAACTCCAGCGGAGCCGCACAACACGTGGAGGAAAAGCGCCAGGACAGCTAACCTTCCCACCTTTTCAAACCTGAAACCCGGCCGGCTGGGGACGGTTGGAATGTTCAGTGCGTACCCGCACCTCAGGCCCCTTGTCTCCAGCCCCAGACCGCCCCGCGACCATCCTCCCCACCCCCCGACCTCTTATCTCGTCCCCGCCCTGTCTCCCCAACCTCCATCCTCCCCTCCACAACCCCCGTCCTCCCGCCCTTCGGCCACGCGCGGCTGGCACAGAACAGGCAGTTAGCGCACACACACTGGAACAGGCGCCACCGTTCAGGAAGTCTCTACAAGACCAGGACCCTGAGGCCTCTGGAAGTGCCGGGACCGAACCAACCCCGCAGAGCGACTAAGGCGAGGGCAGGAGCCAAGAGAATCGTAGCCGCGGTCGCGGGTTGAGCTCCCACCACCCGGACAGCGCGCCTCGGCGATCGCGCACGCGCCACGCCCCGGAAGAGTTCCTGGGCCCGCGACGGTGGCCCGGAAGCAGTCCCCGGTGTCGGGGCAGGAGGCACGCGCGCGGCTGAGGCGAGGTCGCTCGGCGCAGCTGTTGCGGGGCCATGGCGGGGACCGCGCTCAAGAGGCTGATGGCCGAGTACAAACGTGAGTCTGGGGACCCGGGCCGTCAGCAGCGTCCCGCGTTCCTGCTCCCGGGCCCGCGTCGTCCGGCGGGGCTGGGGCAGGGAGCCTGGCGGGGGAGCCGGGCCCGGGGCCTCCACCGTGAGCCCCCCTGTGGGTCCCGCGGAGTGCCGCGCCCTGCGCCCGCTGCCCACTCTCACGCGTGAAGTCGTGAAGAGAAGCCTTCCCAGCATCAGTAAAGGCAGCGCCGGCGCCGTGTTAGTTGAGAGCACACACAGTTGAGTCTTTGCGGGCTTGTTTTTTTCTCTTCTATTTTTTCTTTTCTTGGCAGCCTTGAGAACGTGCAGTGAGAGCTTGAGGAAGAAGGCCTGACTTGCTGCTGCGGAATTAGGAGGGAAAAGTGTATGCGTTAAAAGGGGAAAGGCTCGTTGGTGGAGCTTTGAAAGGTCAGATTTTGGCTTTCCCTCTAATGAAGGAAAAGGGTTTTTGAACAGTGCCACCTGTCACTCCTCCTAGGTAGTGTTGAGGAAACCTCTTGAGTGCTTTCCTACCCGGTAAATTAGATATTTCTAATGTCTGAGGAGAGCGAAGGGAGAAATGAGAACCTAGGAACACTCGGCATTCCATCGTTTTACACCGAATGCCCGCTTGGAAGAACTGCTGCGAGAAGTCTTGGAATACCATTGTGTTGAAAGCGCCAGGAGCCTGAGTCGCCGATGGAGACGAGATAGTAGCCGGCTAAGAGCAGGGCCTGAGTTCAGACCCGGCCTCTCTGCTTGTTAGCTCTTTGACCTTGTTCCTCTCTCTGTCTCTGCAGTTTCCTTGTCTTAAAAGGTTAAACTTGATACTGCAGGTGAAGTGCTTAGCAAAATACCTGATGTGTAACCCTTAATAAAGTTAGCTGCTGCTTTTGTAATTAGATTGAGGATAATTTTGGAAGAAAGTTAAGCTAAAAGAATGAATGTGAGAAAAAAAATAAGTGGTGAATATACATGTAGCTTGATTTCGTAAAACTATTGGTGACACCGCCCAGTAAGAGTTGATGTTTGGCTTAAGCAGACCAAAACGTTGCAAATACAGGCTCACTCACGTATGGTCATTCTTCCCTTGGTATCTGGAGGGGATTGGTTCCAGGCCCCGCTGCAGATACCAGAATCCTCGGATGCTCAAGTCCCTACTATAAGGTGGCGTGGTATTTGCATTTAATGTATGCATAGCCTCTCATAACTTTTAAATCATCTCAAGGTTACTTATAGTACCTAATGCAATGTAAGTGCTGCACAAATAGTTACACTGATTTTTTTTACTTGTATTTTTAAATCGTCATTTTTTATTGTTATTTTTTTCAAATATTTTGTATTCCTGGTTGGTCGAATCCATGGATATGCAGCCGCAGATACACAGGGCCTCCTGTAAACGTTCAAATAACGCTCGCCACCTAGTGTCTGCTAAAGCAGAACATAAAGGCACACCTCAGTTTCCCGCGCGCTTTGCTTTATTGAGCTTCACTTCGCAGATCTTGCATTTTTTACAAGTTTACAAGTTTTTTACAAGCAACCCTGCATGGAAGCAAGTCTGTTGGCACCATTTTTGCTCGCTTCGTGTCTCTCTCTTACATTTTAATCTATTACTGTGATCTATGATCAGTAATCTTTGATGTTACTATTGTAATTATTTTGGGGCATCACAAACTATGCCCATAAAAGATGGTAGTCCTAATAAATGTTGT
Organism: Homo sapiens; assembly: GCF_000001405.40. Lineage (NCBI taxonomy): Eukaryota > Metazoa > Chordata > Mammalia > Primates > Hominidae > Homo > Homo sapiens. The sequence continues at coordinate 44,800,000 of NC_000021.9, read as the reverse complement.
GTGTGCTTCACTGACTGGCTGTTTCCCCATCTCTCTCCCGGCCTCTCTCTTCCCTGAGACAAAACAACATTGAAATTAGGCCAATAGTAACTGTACAGTGGGCTCAAGTGTTGAAGTGAAGAGTTGCACTCTACCCACTTCAAATCAAAAGCTAGAAATGATTAAGTTTAGTGAGGAAGGAATGTTGAAAGTCAAGATAGGCTGAAAGCTGGGTCTCTTGTTAGCCAAGTTGTGAATGCAAAGGAAAAGTTCTTAAAGGAAATTAGAAGTGCTGCTCTGTTGAACACAATGAATGATAAAGTGAAAAAGCCTTACTGCTGATATGGAGAAAGTTTTAGTGGTTTGGATAGAAGATCAAACCAGCCATAACATTCCTTTAAGCCAAAGCCTAATCCAGAGCAAGGTCCTAACTCTTCAGTTTTATGAAGGCTGAGAGCAGTGAGGAAGCTGCAGAAGAAAAATTGGGAGCTAACAGAGGTTGGTTCATGAGATTGAAGTAAATAACCTGTCTCCATAACAGAAAAGCACAAGGTGAAGCAGCAAGGTCTCCAGAAGATCTAGCTAAGATCAAGATGAAAGTGGCTCCTAAATTAAGCAATAGATTTACAAGGTACGTAAAATAGCCTTATACGGTATTGGGAGGAGATGATGCCATATACAACGTAAACAGCTAGAGAGAAGTCAATGACTGGCTTCAAAGGACAGGGCGACTCTTGTTAGGGGCTAATGTCGGTCACTTTAAGTTGACTGAGTTGAAGCCAGTTCTCATTTATCATTCAGAAAATCTTAGGGCCCTTAAAAATTATGCTAAATCTACTCTGAGCTCTAGAGATGGAAAAACAACCTGGATGACAGCACATCTGTGTACAGCATGGTTTACTGAATATAAGCCCACTGTTGAGACCTACTGCTCAGAAAAAAAGATTATCTTCAAAATACTATTCCTGACAGTGCACCTGGTCACTCAAGAGCTCTGATGGAGAGGTATAAGGAGATAAATGTTTTTGTGCCTGCTAACACAACACCAATTCTGCAGCCCATGGATCCGGGAGCACTTTTGACTTATTTAAGAAATACATTTCATAAGGCCATAGCTGCCATGAAAAGTGATTTCTTTGATGGATCTGGGCAAAGAAAATCAAAAGTCTTCTGGAAAGGATTTATCATTCTAGATGGCATTAAGAACATCTGTGATTCATGGGAGGTCACCATATCAACAACAGGCGTTTGAAAAAGTTGATTTCAATGCTCATGGATGACTTTAAGGGGAGGAAGCAACTGCAGGTGTGGTAGAAATGGCAAGGGAACTGGAATTAGAGGTGGAGCCTGAAGATGTCACTCAGTTGCTACAATCTCATGATCAAACTTGAACAGATGGGGAGTTGAGTCTTACAGATGAGCAAAGAAGTGATTCTTGAGATGGAATCTACTCCTGGTGAAAATGCTGTGAACATTGTTGAAATGACAAAAGATTGAGACTATTCCATAAATTTAGTTGATAAAGCAGCCGCAGGGTTTGAGGGTATTGACTCCAGTTTTGACTGAAGTTCCACTGTGGGTAAAGTGCTGTCAAACAACATCACAGACTACAGAGCAATCTTTTGTGAAAGTAAGAGTCAGTCCCTGTGGCAAACTTAATTGTTGTCTTATTTTCAGAAACTACCACAGCCACTCCTGCCTTCAGCAACTACCACCCTGATCAGTCAGCAGTCATCAATATCCGGGCAAGACTGCACCGGCAAAAAGATTATGACCTGCTGAAGGCTCATATGATTGTTAGCATTTTTTAGCAATAAAAATTAAGCATATTTTGGCAAATAATAATTATTTATTTATTTATTTTTTGAGACAGGGTCTTGCTCTGTCACCCAGGTTGGAGTGCAGTGGCACAACCACAGCTCATTGCAAGCCTTGACCTGGGCTCAAGCTATCCTTTCACTTAATCCACCTGAGTAGCTGAGACTACAGGCATGTGCCCCTACACCTGGCTGATTTTTCTGTCTTCATCTTGACCTCCCTCTATGTTGTCAGGGTTTGGCGAAAGTGACTCCATTTTGATTCTGACAATGTTCATACTCGAACAGAGGGTTGGATGTGGGGGACTATTACTTCTGTGTCCTCATGGGAAACCTGGCTGGTGGGTCAGATGTGTGAACACCTACCATTTCTTGGTATCCTGGTTTGTGTTTGTGTCTCTGTTTTAGTTTTATTTTAGCCCTATTTCTAGGGTTAGGCTAGACTGTGAGCAGGTATTTTCTCTTTTTTTTTTTTTTTTTTTTTTTTTTTGAGACGGAGTTTTGCTCTGTCGCCCAGGCTGGAGTGCAGTGGCGCAATCTTGACTCACTGCAGGCTCCGCCTCCCGGGTTCATGCCATTCTCCTGCCTCAGCCTCCCGTGTAGCTGGGACTACAGGCGCGCGCCACCATGCCCGGCTAATTTTTGTATTGTTAGTAGAGACGGGGTTTCACCGTGTTAGCCAGGATGGTCTCGATCTCCTGACCTCGTGATCCGCCAGCCTCGGCCTCCCAAAGTGCTGGGATTACAGGCGTGAGCCACCACGCCCGGCCTTCTCATTTTTATTGAGAAGAAAATCATTAAACCCCTGCATAGGAAATTAAGTTCAGGCTGCTGCTTCAGGCCAGTCTTTGCATTGTTGAACTTGCATTTTCTAAGGATATTTGCATTAGCAAAGATATGTTCTCCCTTTTATTGTCCTGACAGAAGCTTCATCTGTTATTTCAATTATATTGTCAATTAGTTTGCAGTAATAAGACCTAAATAATGGTTGATTTCCGAAGGTTTGTCACGGAAGTGTGTTGTGTGTTTTTACATGTTAACATGAAATTTTGGACTATGTGTAGAAGGTAGAACTCTAAACATACCTCACTAAGATTCCCATGCCCTTGTTATTCAAGCACTTTCTAGTACTTCGGTGGAGGGACTTTGGAGATGCAAGTCAGGTTAGTAATCAGCAGACCTAAAGAGTGGGAGATTATTCTGGATTACCGTGAAGGATCCAATAATAACATAAGGCTCAAAAGCAGTCAGTGAAGGCAGGATGGGGGTGGTCAGAGAGATTCAACATATGACAAGATCTCTACCTTCTGTGGCTGGCTGTGAAGATGGAAGAAGGAGCCATGACCTAAGGAAGGCGGGCAGCCTCAAGAAGCTGAGAATGATCCCAGACCAACAGACCCGTGGAAGTGAATTCTGTCAGCAACCTCAATGAACTTGGAGTGGCAGCCCTGGTGAGACTCTGAGCAGAGAACTAGCTGGCCCATGCTGTGTCCAGACTTCTGACGCTTGGAAACTCTGAGATCATCAATGAGTATTGTTTTAAATCACTAAATTTGTGGTAATTTGTTACAGCAGTGACAGAAGATGAATACAGTGTGTTATTGAGGGGACTTTGTTTTTCCTGTATCTTAATAATGTGATAAAATTTAGTGGGTTTTTTTTGTGTATCATTTACTGGTTTTTTTTGTGTGTGTATCTTAACATCTAGTTTGTCCTCATAACGTATTTTAAGGTAGCACATTCCAGTGTAAAGGTGGACTTGACAGAATCAATCTCTACATAGAAGGGGTTTAGATAAATTTGGTTAGATGTTCATGCACACTTTATTGTATTTGGGAGTAGTCATATAACTGCAGAAATTCAGAGGTGGTGGGACCTTGGCTATGATTCTGTTCAAGCCCCCTAATTTTACAGATTTTATGGAATTGAGCAACAGACAAGATGATTTTGCCTAGGTTCATAAACAGGAAAAAAGGAGAGCCAGGAAAGAACTCAATTGTTGTAAACTGCTGTCTTGTCTTGATGTTCTGTCTTCATTCATCATCCAGCCTTTCCTAGGAGTGTCAGAGATAGACCCAGGTAGAAGTGGGCTGCCCATGGGGGGCTTAGCACAACAGAAATTTATTCTTTTACTGTTCTGGAGGCCAGACATCTAAAATAAAGGTGTTGATGGGGTCATTCTTCCTCTTGAGGGCTCGAGGGGAGAACCCTTACTTGCCTCTTCCAGCTAATGGTGATTGTTGGTCATCCTTGGCGTTTATTGTCATTCTCTTGCTTGAGGTAGTGTAATTCTAATCTCTGCCTCCATCTTCGCATGGCCATCTTCCCCCTGTGTGCATGTCCTAAATGTACATGTCTTTCTGTGGATATATGCTTTTATTTCTCCTGTGTAAATAACCAGGGTTATAATGGGAAGTGTGTGTTTAATTTTTAAAGAAACGGCCAGTTTTCCTCTAGTTCACATTTCCCTAGCAGTGTATTAAGTGTTCCCGTTGCCCCACCTCCTTGCTGACACTTCGCGTGGCCAGTTGTTTTTTGTTTTCTTTTTTCTTTCTTTCTTTCTTTTTTTTTTTGAGACAGGTTCTCACTCTGTCACTCGGGCTAGAGTGCAGTGGTGTAGTCATGGCTCATGGCAGCCTCTGCCTCCTAGGCTCAAGCAATCCTGCCACCTCAGCCTCCCAAGAAGCTGGGATTACAGTTGCATGCCACCTCGCTTAGCTAATTTTTGTATTTTTAGTAGAGATAGGGTTTCGCCATGTTGCCCAGGCTTGTCTCGAACTCGTGGGCCCAAGCAATCTGCCCGTCTTGGCCTTCCAAAGTGTTGGAATTACAACTGCGAGCCACTGCGCCCTTCCAGTTTTAAAAATTTTAGCCATTCTATTGGGTGTATAGCAGTCTTACTGAGGTTTTGTTTTATTTATTTATTTTTTTTTATTTTTTATTTTTGAGGTGCTCTCTCTGTCATCCAGGCTGGAGTGCAGTGGCATGATCTCAGCTCACTGCAACATCTGCCTCCTGGCTTCAAGTAATTCTCCTGCCTCAGCTTCCCAAGTAGCTGGGGCTATAGGCGCGTGCCACCACACCTGGCTAATTTTTGTATTTTTAGTAGAAACGGGATTTCACTATGTTGGCTAGGCTGGTCTCTAACTCCTGACCTCAGGAGTTTGCCTCGCCTCCCAAAGTGCTGGGATTTACGGGCATGAGCCACAGCCCCCGGCCCTTACTGAGGTTTTCATTTGCATTTCCATAAGACTCGTGATGTTGAGCATCATTTCACGTGTTTATTTGCCATCCATATGTCTTTTTAGATAAAGTGACTTGAGTCTTTGCTTCTTTCAAAATTGTGTTGATTTTCTTAAGTTTTAGTTCTTTGGCTGGGCGCAGTGGCTCACGCCTGTAATCCCAGCACTTTGTGGGCTGAGGTGGGCGGATCACGAGGTCAGGAGATGGAGACCATCCGGGCTAACACGGTGAAACCCCCTCTCTACTAAAAATACAAAAAATTAGCTGGGCATGGTGGCGGACCCCTGTAGTCCCAGCTACTCAGGAGGCTGAGGCAGGAGAATGGCGTGAACTTGGGAGGTGGAGCTTGCAGTGAGCCGAGATCACGCCACTGCACTCCAGCCTGGGTGACAGAGCGAGACTCCGTCTCAAAAAAAAAAAAAAACAAAAAAAGAAGGGTTTTTATTATTTCGATGAAATTCAATTATTGACTTTTAAAATATTTCTTGCTATTGTGTTATATTTAAGAAATAACTGCCAAACATCAGGTGGCAGTAGGATTTTCTCCTATGATTTCTTCTAGATGTTTTATAGTTTCAGCTCTTGTATTTAGGTTTGGGATCCATATCAAAGTTTTCCATATGGTATGAGATAAAGGCCAAGGTTTATTTGTAAATTATTTGTAAATGGCAGTGCAGTTGTTTCAGCACTGTGTTTGCTAGGGCTGCTCTACCACACAGGCTGGGCACGGCTTAAACAACAGAAATGTATTTCCTCATAGTCCTGGAGGCTGGAAGTCCAAGATCAAGGATAGGGCAGGGCTGGTTTCTTCTGAGGCTCTGTCCTCTATGCCTGTGTCCTCATCTCTTCTTAAAAGGATATTAGTCAGATTGGATTAAGGTCCACCCTAATGACCACATTAATTTTAATTACCTCTTAAAGGCCCTAGTCACACACTTTTCTCCACCTTCTTTTTTTTCATGTAATATGTCCTGAAGTTTGTTCTGTACTAGCATGTAGAGGTATTTATAGCTGCAAAGTACCCCACTGGTATATGTATCATAATTTGACTGGTCCTCTGTTGATAGACACTCAAGTTCTTTTTAATTTCTTTTTGTTTTTACAAATAGTCCTGAAATGAATAGCCTGTGTATACATTTTTTATCTTCACCAATGTTATCTGTGGGATGGATTCCTAGAAATGGAATTGCTGGGTCAAAGGTTATATTTCACTTTGTGTGGTAGCTATTTGTTAAGCCACTATTTTAAGTGGCAAGGAATGGCCTCTGAAAATTTCCCTGATACCAAGATTCGTCTCTTTTTTTGAACTTGTTTCTTATCAGTAAACATGAAACTGTATATTATTTTGTGTACGCGTGTATATGCTTTGGAAGCAAAAAACAAAATGGAAAAAATAAGTGCCCTGAACCATTCCCTCCAGCCTCTGAACTCATTTGCTGCACTTCTTTATTGACCAGTAGAGGCCACTGTTGAATAACAAAGCTGGCGGGAAGGCCAGCGCACACCCGGGCAGGTCTCTGTGCTGAGCCTGCATTGCCAGGAGCAGGTCTGGAGCTGCAGTTTTTAGACCACCCTTTCCCCTCCCTAAGGGAGGGTGTCACGCAGGGGAGTGCCAAAGGGGAACTCCAGATGAAGAATAAAGCCAGCTCTCTTTGGTACGAGCTCTTCTTCATGGTCCCACGAAGGTGATTTGTAAAGCTTTTGTGTGTTCTGCTGCCAGGCCTCTACTTAGTTGCCCACTGACATTGTGTTTCTCCCGCACCCCACCTGCTTAGCAGTTTACAGTCTATCTGCCGTAATCTGTTATTTTTTTCTTATAATTAGGCGGTTTGGCTTGAGACACAAGAATGGGACTAGATTTTAGATGACTGGGTGTAGGAAGCCTAGCAAATTAGGTTCTGTGGTTATTTCTCCTGATCTACTCCACATGAAGAGACACAAAGGGAGAACATCAGGGTGTGGCTTGTGAAATCCAAGGTCTTAGTCGGCTTGGTACTTGACCTCATTCACATTCAGTTCCCACCCACCCCTGAAATGTTTAATGCACTTGGCCCTTGGGGCCAGCACTTGCCTTTGGCCTGCCTTGCTGGCCCCTCCTTGCCACTCTGCCTTCTCTCACTGCTGGGTGTCAGCACACCCTTGTGACAGCACTTAGGTCTCTTCAGGACCTCTGTTTCCTGGATCAGGGCTTCTCAGCAGGTGTTAGTGGTATTTTGAGTGAAATAATTTTTCCTTGGGTAGGCCTTGTTCTACCCAAGGTTGTGGGTTCATTAAACGGTTAATCGGTACATTAGTCCGTTCTTATACTGCCATAAAGATACTACCTGAGACTGGGTAATTATAAAGGAAAGAGGTTTAGTTGACTCACAGTTCTGCATAACTGACGAGGCCTCAGGAAACTTATAGTCATGGCAGAAAGGGAAACAGACCTCTTCTCAAGGCGGTAGGAGAGAGAAGAGCAAGCCAAGGAAGAACTTGCCACACACTTATAGAACCATCATGTCTCCTGAGAACTCGCTATCACGAGAACAGCATGAGGGAAACTGCCCCCATGATCCAGTCACCTCCTACCAGGTTCCTCGCTCAACACTTTGGGGATTACAAGTCAAGGTGAGATTCGGGTAGGGACACAAAGCCAAACCATGTCATTTCTCCCCCTACCCCTCCCAAATCTCATGTTCCTTTCAAAACCATTCCATTTCAAAACAAATCATGCCTTCCCAGCAAGGCCCCCAAAGTCTTAACTCATTTCGTCATTAACTCAAAAGTCCAAGTCCAAAGTCTCATCTCTGACAAGGTAAGTCCCCTCTGCCTAGCAGCCTGTAAAATCAAAAGCAAGTTAGTTACTTTCAAGATACAATGGAAATACAGGCATTGGATAAATACTCCCATTACCAATGGAAGAAATTGGCCAAAACAAAGGGCTACAGGCCCCCATGCAAGTCCGAAATCCGGCTGGGCAGTCATTAAATCTTAAAGCTCAAAATGGTCTCCTTTGTGACCCCGTGTCTCACATCCAGGGCACACTGATACAGGGAGTGGCTTTCATGGTCTTGGGCAGCTCTGCCCCTGTGGCTTTGTAGGGTACAGCCCTCCCACACCCACCCCCTTCAGCTACTTTCATGGTGGGCATTGAGTGTCTTTGGCTTTTCTAGGTGCACAGTGCAAAGCTCTTGGTGGATCTACCGTTCTGGGGTCTGGAGGATGGTTGTTCTCTTCTCACAGCTCCACTAGGCAGTGCCCCAGTGGGGACTCTGGGAGCTCCAACCCCACATTTCCCTTCTGCAATGCCCTAGCAGATGTTCTCCATGAGGGCCCTGCCCCTGCAGCAGATTTCTGTCTGGACATCCAGGCGTTTCCCTACATCCTCTGAAATGTAGGTGAAGGTTCCCAAACGTCAGTTATTGAATTCTTTGCACCCACAGGCCCAACACCACGTGGAAGCTGCCAAGGCTTGGGGTTTGTACTCTCTGAAGCAACAGCCTGAGCTGTACCTTGGCCCTTTTTAGCCATGGCTGGAGCTGGAACAGCTGGGACACAGGGCACCAAGTACCAAGGCTGCACAGAGTAGCAGCGGGGCTGGGCCTGGCCCACAAAACCATTTTTCCCTCCTAGGCCTCCCTGCTTGTGATGGGAGGGGCTGCTGCCAAGATCTCTGACATGCTCTGGAGACATTTACCCCATTGTCTTGGCGATTAATATTTGGCTCCTTGTTACTTATTTGAATTTCTCTCCAGAAAATGGGTTTTTCTTTTTTATTGCACCGTCATGCTGCGAAGTTTTCAAACTTTTATTCCCTGCTTTCTTTTAAACACGAGTTCCAATTTCAGATCATCTCTCTCAAGTTCAAAGTTCCACAGATCTCTAGGGCAGGGGCAAAATCTCACCATTCTCTTTGTTGAAACATAGCAAGGGTGACCATTGCTCCAGTTCCCAAGAAGTTCCTCTTCTCTTTTTCAGACCACCTCAGCCTGGGCTTCATTGTCCATGTCACTATCAGCATTTTGGTCAAAAGCATTCAGCAAGTCTCTAGGAAGTTCCAGACTTTCCCACATCTTCCTTCTTCTAAGCCCTTCAAACTGTTCCAACCTCTGCCTACTACCCAGTTCTGAAGTTGCTTCCACATTTTCAGGTTATCTTTATAGCAGTACCCCTGGTACCAATTTACTGTATTCATCTGTTTTCACACTCCTATAAGAACTTCCCTGAGACTGGATAATTTATAAAGGAAAGAGGTTTAATTGACTCACAGTTCCACATGGCTAGGGAGGCCTCAGGAAACTTATCATGACAGAAGCCGAAGGGGAAGCAAGCACCTTCTTCACAAGGTGGCAAGAAAGAAGAGTGAAGGAGGAACTTTCGAACACTTATAAAACCACCAGATCTCATGAGAACTCACTGTCATGAGAACAGCATGGAGGAAATTGCCCCCATGATCCAGTCACCTTCCACTAGGTTCCTCCCTCAACACCTGGAGATTACAATTCAAGATGAAATTTGTGTGGGGACACAAAGCCAAACCATATCAATGGACATTTGGGTTGTTTCCAGTTTGGGGCTATTACGAATTTAGCTACTATGAACATTCACACAAAAGTCTATGGCAACATAAGACCCAGTAGAATTGCTGGGTCTTAGAGTCAATATATATGTAATTTTAGTGGAAATGGTCAAACTTCTTTCCCAAAGGGTAACCAAACCATTTTGCATTCCCATCAGTGGTGCATGAGAGATCTACTTGCTAAACTTGCCAGCACTTTAAGTCTTTAATTTTGGCCATTCTTTTGTGACTAAAGATACTGATAATGCTGAAGCTATTGAGCTGTATCTTATTGTGGTTTTAATTTGCATTACCCTTATGATTCACAATGTTGAGCATTTTCTCATGTGCTTATTAGCCATCTGTTTTAGTCAGTTCAGGCTGCTGTAAAAAAATACCAAAGACCAGGGAGCTTAAACAACAAACATTTATTGCTCCCAATTCTGGAGGCTGGGAAGTCTGGTGAGGGCTGTCTTCCTGGTTTGCAGATGACTGTCTTCTCCTTGTGCCCTTACATGGCCAGAGGCAAATCTCTCGTTTCTTCTTATAAAGGCACTAACTCCATTCATGAGAGTTCTGCCCTCCTGACCTAATCTCCTCCCAAAGGTCCCACCTCCCAATACCACATACATTAGGATTCAACATAGGAATTTTGGGGGGACGCAAGCGTTTGGACCACAGCATCATTCGTGTTGACTCTGACAGTGGCTCTTTTCAACTCTGCCTCCATTTTTCTTCTTACCTATTTTGATTTTTATATGTGGTGTGAGATGGGGAAAGTTTGATTTTTTTTTGTCTTAGAGATGAGCATCATTCATGGAAAAGACTGCCCTTTGCCTCTGGGCCATAGCTCTGTGTTCCCTCGAGTCAGGGTCTCTGTTGGTACAGGTATGCTTCTGGGCTTTCTCTTGTGCCCCATTGTTCAATTTAACTTTGAGCCAGTGCTACGTTGCCTTAATTTCCATAGCTCTGTAAGGAAGGCTTGGTAACTCATAGATGAAGCTTTCTGTTTATTCTTTTTTTTTTTTTTTTTTTTTGAGACAGAGTCTTGCTCTGTCACCCAGGCTGGAGTGCAGTGGCGCGATCTCGGCTCACTGCAACCTCCGCCTCCTGGGTTCAAGTGATCCTCCTGCCTCAGCCTCCCAAGTAGCTGGGACTACAGGTGCATGCCACCATGCCCGGCTAATTTTTCTATTTTTGGTAGAGATGGGATTTCGCCATGTTGGCCAGGCTGGTCTCGAACTCCTGACCTGAGGTGATCCACCCGCCTCGGCCTCCCAAAGTGCTGGGATTACAGGCGTGAGCCACCGCGCCTGGCCCTCTGTTTATTCTTTTTAAAGATAGTGTCTTGGCTATTCTGGATTGTTTGCATTTTTATATATCTTTTAGAAAGATATATATATGCCTCATATTCAGCAACTGTGCCAAACTCACTTTTACTAATTATCTTTAGATTCTTTTGGGCTTTCCTGTATATATGGACATAGCATCTGTGAATAATGAGTTTTATTTCTTTTTCAGTCCTTATACCTTATATTTATTTGGCAAGGATTTATTAATTTTCTGTCTCTTCAAAGAACCACCTTTTGGTTTCATTGATTTTTTTTTTTCTGTATGTTTGCTTACTGTTTTATTAATTTCCCCAGTCTCACTCTGGTTGCCCACTGGACTCCAGCCTGGGCAACCAGAGTGAGACCCTGTCTCAAAACTAAGCAACAAAGTAACCAGCAGGAACAGTTTGGAAAGACAGTGTACCCCTTATGTTTGCTTTTGCATTTGTAAAAAGAAAAAGAAAAAGAAAAGTCTATGTTTTGTTGGTATAAAGAACTATTTGGGCCGGCGCGGTGGCTCATGCCTGTAATCCCAGCACTTTGGGAGGCCGAGGCTGGCGGATCACGAGGTCAGGAGATCTAGACCATCCTGGCTAACACGGTGAAACCCCGTCTCTACTAAAAATACAAAAAATTAGCTGGGCGTGGTGGTGGGCGCCTGTAGTCCCAGCTACTTGGGAGGCTGAGGCAGGTGAATGGCATGAACCTGGGAGGTGGAGCTTGCAGTGAGCTGAGATCACACCACTGCACTTCAGCCTGGGTGATAGAGTGAGACTCCGTCTCAAAAAAAAACAAAAAAAAAACAAAAAAACTTTGTGTAGTTGTTATCAGAACCGTTATTGTACTAGGTATTCACTTTGGGCAAACAGAATTTTCACTTGTTAATATGCATATTCTATGGTTTATAGGCTTATATATTTTGTAAAGGTGTTTTGTTAAAATGACAATGTAACATTTATTCTGTTTGGTAATGGTTTTACTTATTAATTTTATAGAATTAACACTGAATCCTCCGGAAGGAATTGTAGCAGGTAAGGTACCAAAGTTAACTTCCTTATAATTTACTTTTAATTGCCAAAGTTCCTTCAAAGTTAAAATGTTGTGAAATTTTTTCTCACCCTACAGGCCCCATGAATGAAGAGAACTTTTTTGAATGGGAGGCATTGATCATGTAAGTTAATTTTAGGTGTACTAGTTTTTAGGGCTTTGCTGGAAGTCAGATGTAAGAATCACATCAGCAGTGTGACTGTGTCCAAAAGCATCAGCTGGAAAAAAGACTGAGTTCTCCAGTAATGCCCAGCTCTCGTCTAGGCTGCTGGTCTGAAAGCAGAGAACCTGAGCATTGATCCAAAAGAAATGAGTGTTTCCTTAGAGCCAGTCAAAGGTTTAGTTATAATTATGTAATATATGTATTATATATTTGAGAGTTTTAAGGTGGTAATTTTGGAATGTTGTATGATCGTGGTTAAAATAACCTCAAATGGCGTAGGTGGCTTTGGCTTCCAGAAGTAGCCCCTTCAGGTGTGAAATTTTGACGAGAAAAGGGTCCTCAAAGATGTGTCTGACCACACCAGGCATGTTAGCGCAGCCTTGCCTGCCCTGCCTTTGGGCCAGGACTTCTTTTTCTTCTCCTTTCCTCCCAGTTCGTATCTTCGTGTGCTGCATCTCCTTTTTCTGTTGCCTTGTCTGGACTTGTTGGCCTTGTGTTCTTTCCGACCCAAGACATGGCTTAGTAAGTGAGCAGTGTGGTTCTGGGATTCGTGGCATTTAACTTAGGGTGACGTTGCTTGGAAAGAGAAACACATGGACCCCTGATTTTAGAGTGTTCTATGGCCTTGACTCACTTTGCTTTTTCTTCTTTCTACCTTAGATGTGCAATTTTTGGCCATTCTTAGTGTATTTTCAGCAAAGTGAGGTTAAATAAAATTTAGGAAGTTGAAATTTGTAATCAGTCTCTGTTTTCTTTCTTTTCTTTTTCTTTCTTTCTTTTTTTTTTTTGAGATGGAGTTTCGCCCTTGTTGCCCAGGCTGGAGTGCGGTGGCACAACCTTGGCTCACTGCAACTCCTGCCCCTTGGGTTCAAGCGATTCTCCTGCCTCAGCCTCCCTAGTAGCTGGGATTACAGGTACCCACCACCGTGCCTGGCTAATTTTTGTATTTTTAGTAGAGACAGGGTTTCCCCATGTTGGCCAGGCTGGTCTCGAACTTCTGACCTCAGGTGTTCCGCCTGCCTTGGCCTCCCAGAGTGCTGGGATAACAGGTGTGAGCCACCGCGCCAAGCCCAGTCTTTGTTATCTCATTAGTGAGGTCTTTTAATTTGCAGCAAGGTCTTGGGTTGGATTTTGTTGCATTGAGAAGTGCTCTAGAGGGCAAGGACCGGAAAAGTGAGGGCTGTGAAACAAGTGTGGGCTCTGGCTTGAAGTGATCTTAAGCTTCATGATGCTTTTGGAATTCGCCAGTTGCTTGGATCACATTAATTCTTAATGCTCTATGGGTTGGTCTGAGAAACAGATTGCAGCTAAGTGTTGTCTGTGGAGGTTAAATTGATATGAAAATTAGTATTTTGGATAAACAAAATGTTTTTAAAAAATCATCAAACGCTATTCAGATGGTACAGCACGCCTGCCATTTCCTGATCATTTGTAATATCCTAATTGCTTGGGCCTATGGCACATGTTTTTTCGGTGTCTGAAGGTTTCTGGAATCTGTGTTTGTGTGTAATGTGGCCCCCAAGGCAGTTATGAGATGGATGGCGAGTCCCACAGTCTGGGCTGTCCTCATTAGTGGACTGTGCGGCTGTATACTTGTATCGGGGCAGCTCTTTTTATTTCTGTAGAAGCAGGAGATCATATACATGAACTGATGTGTAACCTGCTTGTTTCATGTGTTAATGCAGGCGCACCTGCACTCATGCCAGCGGGGCAGCACGCCTGCTGCAGGGGCCCAGAGTGGCGGGAGGCCTGTCTGTGTGTAGAGGTTGAAGGCGCCTGTCGTGTCTGCAGTTATTTGTGGGGTGTTGGCTCCTCCGTAGGCCTATTTGGAAGCTCATTAAAGGAACAGTTGAGCCGTCCAGTGTGGTTTTAAAAAAATGTTCATTGTTAAAAATCGATTAGGGTAACTATTACCAATTTTAAATAAACAGTGTAAAATTAAACCAATATTTTGAAAACCTGTCTTAAAAAGTAATTAGAACTATTTTTAGGTAGAGCACTTCTGTGTTTGAACAAGGCTTTTTGCATTAGTTTGGAATTCCCCTGCTTGAAGATCCTAGTGAGTTTGTGGGTTTTGGTCCTGTTCCAGACCCTTCACAAACAAGAGGCCGTTTACAAGTGCACTTAAAATGCCTATTAGGGAATTAACTGTCCTCCCATCGATTTGTCTCACCCTGCTATTTTGGCAGACATCTGGCCAAGTCTTTGCTCCTTGGTGATAAGTTTCTTCTTTTTCTCTTTATTCTTTGATGGCTTCCAGGGCCGCCTCTCTACCCTAGTATTTCTAAAACCCGTGCTTGCCTCACAGAAGTCGAACGGCTGTTGGTTTTTGCTGTTGTGCTTGCCTTAAGGGCCAGTGAAGAAAATGTCATTTTAGATATCTAAGCAACAAACACTAAGTGCCTTTGATATGTTAGGGCCCTTGTCTGAAGATACAGACATGTCAAAGATGCACTGAAATCTTTACCTTGGAAGACCAGGGTTGAGGGATTAGGATGGAGAATAGAACAGATTAGTGAATGAGAGGACTAAATAATGAGAGTCCGCAGGCTGTGTCTTTAAACACCGGGAATAACTCTGCTGACCCTGCCACGCTCATGGTGGAGTCTGAGCCTGCAATCAAATCGAGCGTGGCTGGGATGGCGGCACACCAGGGGATGTGGCCACCGTGGCTGTGGGTGCTAGCATGGCCTGCTGCTCTTGGCCCAGTCACTTTGCCTCTCTTTGACTTATTTGGATCAAAACAGAGAGGTTTATCAGCATCTTCTAGACAGATGGTTACAGGTCTTGCCCAGCTCTAGGGTCCATGGCCCGTGACCCCATTGCCACTAAGCCACGGTGACGGGGGTGTAGCTGCAGAGAGGGTGGGTGCCCTCTTTCATTGATGCACTTATGTGGGACAGAAGGAGTCCTAGACAGCTGTTCATCCCCAGTGGCCGGACAAGGCGTGGAGTCCCTTGGCGCTTGCTGTCCTCTGTGTCCTGCCCCAGCATTCCCAAATCAGCTGGCTTGGTGACCTTCTTGTCTGGTTCATGCCTGACTGCTGTCACCTCCCCAGACCAGTGGTTCTAGAGGCTGTGGTGAAATAAGAAGGACCTTCCTTTACTGAATGGTGTGTTTGGGGCCCAGTTGGTGGATGGATGCTCCCAGGTTCTCCAGCTGGCTCATGGCAGCCAGCTTGAGGGCTCCCAGGCTGCCGCGGCTTCTACCAGGAGCCCTTCTCACACTGGGGGCCAGTGTCCGGGGCACAGCAGCCTCCCTTTATGTCCAGGTTTCTTGTTGACTGAAGACTGTCACAGGGCATCTCTTGGCAGTATTATGCCTTGCTGAAATAAACCCGAGATAATAAAATAGGTGTTTATAATTTGTATTGTATGTAATCTCACCATAGCATTTTCTTCAACAAAAGTGTCACAAAGATCCCTATATGAAGAAGTTATTGCCACATTCATTGCAGTAATAATAATAAAAAAGGAAACATCACTGTTCCACATAATTTATGGAGCATCTATATAGAGTAATGCCATGTAGCTGTAAAACAGTTCAGGTGGAATTTTCATCCTGGCATGGAAAGATGTACACAATATAAATGGAAAAGGCGGATTCTAGAATAATAGGTCTGGAACCGTCTGTCCGTCCTTCCTTCCTCTCCTCTCCTCCCTCCTCTCTCTCTTCCTTTCTCCCCTCCTTTCTTCCCTCCCCTCCCCTCCCCTCCCTTTCTTATGGAGACATGGTCTAGCTCTGTCACCCAGGCTGAAGTTCAGTGGCCTGGTCACAGCTCACTGCAGCCTCAAACTCCCAGGCTCAAACAATCCTCCCACCTCAGCCCCACAAGTAGCTGGGACCACAGGTGCACACCACCACGCCCAGCTAGTTTTTAAAATGCTTTGTAGAGATGGGGTCTTGCTCTGTTTCCCAGGCTGGTCTCGAACTCCTGGCCTCAAGCAATCCTTCTGCCTCAGCCTCCCAAAGTGCTGGGATTACAGGCAGGATCCAAGGCACCCAGCCTAAACAGCTTTATTGAGATAATTTACATACTGTAAGTTTTACTTGCATTAAGTATAAAAGTTAGTGGTTTTAGTAAATTTCTAGAGTTTTGTAGTCATCACCACAGTCCAGTTTTAGAACATTTCCAAAAAGATTCTTATGTCTATGTGCAGACAGTTCCCATTCCAACCCCCAGGCAATCCCTGCTCTTTCCTCTGACTATAGATTTGCCTTTTCTGACTTTTCCTATGTGTGGAATCATACACTGTCTAATCATCTGTGCCTGGCTTCTTGTACTTGGCAGAATGTATTTGCAGTTCATCCATGTTATACCATGTATCAGCAGCTCCTTCCTTTTCCATTCCCCAGTTGATGGACATTTGGGCTTCCTACTTTTTGGCTCTTTTGAGCAATGCTGCTGTAAACACTTGTCTTGTCACACTGTCTGTGTGGACATGGAGTTCATTTCTCTAGACCAGATATAGAGGTGTGGAATTGCTGGGGTGTGGAGTAAATTTGCGTTTAATGTTTTAAGAAACTATCAGACTATCTTCCTAGAGTAGCTCACCATTTTGCATTCCCAGCAGCAGTGTATGAGCATTCCAGTTTCTCCACTTCCACACCAACACTGCTGTTGTCTGATAACAGCTGTTCTTGTGGGTGTAAAGTGGGGTCTCCTTACAGATTTGACTTGGATTTCCTTGACGACTAATGATGTTGAGCATCTCTTAATGGGCTTATTGGCCGTTCATGTATCTTCTTTGGTGAACTTCAGAACTTTTCCCCATTTTTATATTCGGTTGTTTTCTTGTTGATGGAACGTTAAGAGTTTTTAAAATATATTTTGATACAAGTCCTTCATTAGACATAGGATTTTTAAATATTTTCTTCCAATCTGCAACTCTCCATTTTGTTTTCTTAATAGAGTCTTTTGAAACTAAAAAGTTGTTAATTTTGATGAAGTGTGATTTTGCATTTTTTTTCTTATATAGAGCATGCTTTTGGTGTTGTATATAACCCAAGGTTGCAAAGATTTTCTCTTATGTTTGCTTGTAGAAGTTTTGTGTTTTTTCACTTTTACATTTAGGCCTTTGATCTATTTTGATTGACTTAGTGTCATGTATGGAGTTAGGTGGGAGTCTGTTTCATTCTTTTGTATGTGGTTATCCAGTTGTCTCAGCACCATTTGTTGAAAAGACAGTTCTTTCCCCATTGCATAATTTTGGCACCTTTGTCAAAAATCAGTTGACTATAAATGCAAGGATTTATTTTTGGACTCTGAATTGCATTCCATTGATCTATGCCTATCCTTAGGCCATTACTACACTGTCTTGATTACTGGAGCTTCATGGTAAGTTTTAAAATTGGGAAATTTAAGTCCGCCAACTTTGTTCTTTTTCAAGATTGTTTACTAGGCCATTGCATTTCCATTACATTTTAGGGTCAGCTTGTCAATTTCTACAAAATGCCTGGTGGGATTTTGATTGAGACTACATTGAATCTTTAGATAAGTTTGAGGGATATTGCCATCATATCAGTACTGAGTGCTCTAATCCATGAACATGGACTGTCTCTCCATTTATTTAGGTGTTTTAAAATTCTCAGCAATGCCATGATACATTTGAATTTTTAGAAATCCAGTTTTGTAGATTAGAGTATGTGAATTTATACACACATAGAGAAAAGCTGGAACAATAACCAAACTTAACTCTGGTTACCTCAAGGAGGTGATTTTGGGAGGGGGAGTGAGGGAGGTATTTGCTTTTTATTTTATATACTTCTGTATTTGAATATTTTCCAACATTCTTTTATTTTCCTAGTTAAATAAGGTCAAAGTTTATGTTGTAAAAGTGATTGTCTATGTTAGAATATACTATAAAGTTCTTATAATTGATGAACTTATTTAGTACACTTTATAGTTCAAATATATTAGATTTAAAAATTTTAAGAAACATCTATATTGCAAAAAATAATTAGGGTATGGCTGTAGATGCCTTTTGGACAGGTTTAACTATGAAAATAATTATATGGAGCAAAAGCTATATTTGCCCCTACTATGATTTCATAAAATGGAAATGTTCCCCCTTTTCTTCCGAGCAGTTCTTAGCATTGGTTATCTACCTGAGTATCGCCTGGGGTGCTTAGAACACCACAAAACAGAAAGGAAACACAGGGGATCTCTGGGTTTAAACCAGAGCCAGGGCCCTGCTCTGGGGGTGAGGGTCAAATATGTCATCCTGGTGGAGACCAAGTGCTGGAGGAAAGTGCAGGAAGGCACTTCCCCAAATCACGGCTTCTTACAGCCTCGTCCTCTTGCTACGAGGGTATTGGGATCAGTTTCTATTTAACTCCTCACTGCCTGGCACAGCCACAAGCACAACCTGGCATAGCAGAGCCAGTGTCCTAGGGCTTTTAAAGTGCCCAGTGTGGGGGCTGTGTGTGCAGCCCACCTTGGTCCTGCTGTCCTGGGCATTAGTGGGGTGGGAACATCGGCAAGAAGCTTTTGCTGAACTGCAGAGCAGGGACTGAAGGAAGGAGACGCACCCAAGCTCAGATGCCGGGAGCCCTCATGCCCTTCCTGCTGGGTGCCCTCTGTCGATTCTGTAGCGTAAGGGAGGTGCTTATCCTTCCCCCAGAGTGGAGGGTGCCCATGAAGCAGTTTGCCCTTCCCGTCTCCAGCTCAGCTGGCTCCAGCTTTTGGAGGGCCATCGTCCCTTAGTCATCCACTTCAGGTTTTAAATACTGATGGATGAGTTTGCATTCTCTGTGATTTTAATTCTTTATCACATGTGCGTTGGAGACTTCTTGTCTATGTGCTGTGACAAACTTGATAAAGAGAACAGCAGCAAAAGCAGTCGGCTTTCCCAACACCTGCGTGCAGCTGAAGTGGCGAGCGCACCAGTTCCTGGAACACCGCTTGCCGGCGAAGCTCAGGGCACCCACTTGCCCTGGGTGCTCCATAAGGCACTCTGACCTGCCTGCTGCTTCTCTTATCTAGAAAGTAAAAAGTGTTAGAAAGGCAATGCAAAGAAGAACAATCTCTCCCTTGAGTTGAGTGTGGAAAGACAGAAGAGGCTGATCTTCGCTTTTCACTGGCATATAAGTGACCCACACTGTTGCTGAGGAATGGTCACAACTCTGGAGGAGGACAGTGACAAGGCAGTTGTCCTTTGTGAGGAGGGAGAATTGCTAGTCAGGAGTAGGCCATGGGTGTTTTCAATATTTGCTTTTGTATCTAATTCACCCACAAGACAGCAAAACAGTCTGAGCTGTTGCAAGCGTGCCTCCTGTGTAGAGTGCAGGGTCATTATGATGCTTAATCTAATGCTTGTCCTTAGCTCAGCTCCGAAAGAGTTTAGGTCATGATTTCAATCAATAAGGCAGCATAATTTGCAGGCTTTGAAAAATTTACATTTGCTTTGGATATATTTGTGTCCTCCTTGTTGTTGTTTCTTTTGAAGATTCCCAGGTGAGGCCATCTTCGGTGAAAGAGAAGTGAGGTTGTCTGGGAGTATGGCAATAAAACTTGTCCAAAAACAGCACTGTGGCGTCTCCCACTCCTGGCTCGGGAGTTGCCTGGAAGGCATGTTCCATGGGGTCAGGCATGCTGCTGCACACCACTGCCCATCTGCCCTCCTGTCTGGGCGCCAGGCGTTCTAGAAAAGAGAAAGAAATCCCAGTTTCAAACCAGTAGTAAACCGGAGCATTTGCAAATAACTTTGATATTTAAGATGTGGGCGCACTTCAGGAAATGTTTGGTCATGCTTCTGAGGCTAGGAACGACCTGGTGGATTAAAAAAAATTTTTTTTAAAGAAAGCCCTATTATGAGAAACAAAGAACTGTTATCAAAGTATTGAGCAAATACCATTTGGCTCATTCCAAAAACACTACCCAGACATTTTTTCTTATTCTGGACTCAGAGGTGCCAGAAATATTGAGTGCTGGCAAGCATTCCTGACATATGAACAGTGTTACTTTTAAAGATAGTATCTTTATGTGCCTGACTTCTGATTTCGCAGTTTGAACTGTGTTCTCTTAACTCTAATACTAAATTGATCTAGGACCTTGACTAAGTCATTTCATCCTTGGATTTTCCAGCCTTGCTTGACAGTAAAATGAAAACCACAATCCTTGGTGCCCTTTCATCAGAGGGCGTGTGGAGAATGAATGGGTGGTGGTTATCGTTTGCTCTGAGCTCTTGTACTGGACAGGAGGCTCGGGGTGGCCACGCCTCACTCTGATACATGGTGTGTGCCCACCCTGTGTTGAGAAGGCGGGGCTTCAGGAATGTGTTTGTTCAGGCCATTGCAGGGGGAGCAGAGTAACCCAGGCTTGAGGCGTCCCCAGGCTGCCGGGCGCTGGGTGCCAGTGTGGGCCGGGGGGGGTACTCATCCGGGCACTGTCCTCTCCAGCGCGGCTGTTGTACCAGTAGCAAGAGCTCATGCTCGTGCCTCCCTCGGTGGCGTTCCCTGTGCTGGTCATGCTGAGGCTCTGGGGACTGTCACACAGTACCCCCCCCCCACCCCAGCTCCCCAAAACAAAGTGGCCATATTCGCTATCTTCTTCTGAAAAGGTAGCAAAGACAGTTTTCAGAATCAAAATTTGTCTTTTAGATTGAAAAATCTTGTCTCCATGAAGCAATCACTGCTTTGTTCTCTTCTGACTGTTGCCCGCAGATCAGCCCTGCTAGGGCCATGAGCCGTGCTGGCATCTGCTGTTGCTGCCGACAGCCCTGAGTGCCGCCTCCAGGTGAAAGCTAAAGCTCTTCGTTCAGTTTCTTTTTGATTTTTGTCTTTTTCCTTTAATTATAGAGATAAATATTTCCAAGTCTGTTGTTATTAATTTCACTGAACCAAGATAATTTTAAGATTTTTAAAACAAATTTTTACTTTTAAGAAATCTATTTTTTAACTGAAGATTTAAAACGTATATTTTTTTAAATTATTTTTTTCCTGTGCCATATCCTGGATTCTTTCTGAAGGCAGTAGGTCTGGTGTGGACTGTCCTCTGCTCATCCAGGCCTCGGCCCCTGCACGACTGTTCTTTCTGCCTTAGCCTTTGTTGTTAGAGGAGCAGAGCTGTTTAGGAAGGGACTTGTTCTTTCAGTTCGTAGACGGAGAACGGGTTTACTGACCTATTTATTGATCTGATGAGTCACACCCAGTGCAACTTCCACTGTTTCGTTGTCTGCCGCTGTCATTCAGCAGTCCTGCTTCCTTATCAAAGAAAGATGGTGCAAGATCTTTTAGAACTCCTCCAATGTGTGTTTTATTAATGTGATTTGTAGGAGAAGAGGAGTTCGTCCCTGGTGTGAAGGTACAGGCATAGTGGCTGACACTCTTCCTCTCCTGTGGCCATCATGCCTTGAACTGTTGGTCAAGATAGTGTTAATTTATACTTGTTGGGTTTTAAACCTTAAGCAGGATTTCTGAAATGGTTTCATCTATTTCTTCCATTTACACGTGAGGAAAGTATAGGTCCAGGGAGACTCAGTGCCTGTGTCTGTGCCCATGACGGGGAGTTGCTCCAATGTTGCATCAGTGGGATGAGGCACAGCACATGGGCCTGCAGGTGCAGCCTGGAGTGGTGGTGCCTGTGTGCCTAGCCTTTCACCGAGCATGCAGCAGTGATCACATGTGCTCTTCATCTGCTTCTTGAAGGTTGCAAAGATGCCTTCTTGGGCACGTTTAAAAATTAAAAATCACCTTTGAAATACAACTCTTAGCCCCACATCTGTTGAAATACAATGTAATCTTGCTATACCCTGTGCCGTAATTCATACCCTTATCCTAAAATGTGATTGTACCACATCTGCAGAAAAAACTCCCAGATCTTAGAGCATTGACATTAGTTCTTTTCTCTGATCTCCTTCTTATCAAGAGGTTCTGCTGCTTGACTCTTAACCTTCATAAATGTGAAAACTGCCTGGAATTCAGTCTTTGTACTTGTACCTAAGATTTAGACCAGATTGAAACTGGAGAATGGGACATTGCTTTCCACTGAAAAGAAAGTACCAATTCATTGTTACTTAGATAATCTTTTTGTGTGCATTTTTATTATTTATTTTTATTTTTGTTTATTTTTTGAGACGGAGTCACGCTCTGTCGCCCAGGCTTGAGTGCGGTGGCGAGATCTTGGCTCACTGCAACCTCCACCTCCCAGGCTCAGACGATTCTCCTGCCTCAGCCTCCCAAGTAGCTGGGATTACAGTCATGCGCCACCACACCCAGCCAATTTTTGTATTTTTAGTAGAGACAGGGTTTCACCATGTTGCCCAGGCTGGTCTTGAACTCCTGACCTCAGATGATCTGCCTGTCTCGGCCTTCCAAAGTGCTGGGATTACAGGCGTGAGCCACCGCACCCGGCCTCACGTGCATTTTTAAAGTGGTAAAAATGTTCTTAACCCATTTGTCAATTGTGGTCGACGTTGAAAAATGTACTTTGAAGTTCAGTCTACGTATTTTATATCTTCTAGGGGCCCAGAAGACACCTGCTTTGAGTTTGGTGTTTTTCCTGCCATCCTGAGTTTCCCACTTGATTACCCGTTAAGTCCCCCAAAGATGAGATTTACCTGTGAGATGTTTCATCCCAACAGTAAGTGCTTTTGGAAGTAGTTTTTGTGGTACCAGGATAGGTACGGAGATAATATTATCAGCCACCTGAAATGTGGTATATTCTATATGTCTATGATGTAGATCTTTAGAAAACACTTCTTATGTTTTGAAATTCAGCCAAGTAAGCATGGTGGTATTAAGCACATGATTTCAATTTTGAAGGTCAGTTTAATATAGATAAAAGACAACAGGCACCTAAAACCGGATGCCATTTGACCCAGCCACCCTACTTCACTGGGGAGGAAGTTTTACACATGGGTGTGTGCTCAGAAGGGGTTATGCTAATCTTTGTCATAGTGTTATTTGTAATGGTGAAAATTTTGACTTAACCTGGGTTTTTAACACAAGAATAAATTAAGTTATATATTGTATTAGTCTGTTGTCACGCTGCTAATAAAGACATATTCAAGTCTGGGTAATTTATAAAGGAAAGAGATTTAATGGACTCACAGTTCCACATGGCTGGGGAGACCTCACAATCATGGCAGAAGGCAAAGGAGAAGCAAAGGCACATCTTAGTGGCGGCAGGCAAGAGAGTGTGTGCAGGGGAACTGCCCTTTACGGAACCATCAGATCTCGTGAGACTTGTACACTATCACGAGAACAGCACGGGAAAGATGTGCCTCCATGATTCAGTACTTCCCACTGGGTCCCTCCCATGACATGTGGGAATTATGGGAGCTACAATTCAAGATGAGATTTGGGTGGGGACACACCCAAACTATATCATATATGTTAGAATGTGATGTAGATTTTTTAAATGATCTAAAAGAAGAATCAATGATACAAAGTAGTATTTGTGTTATATTGACTGGGAAAAGCAGTAGCACTGTTATAATTTCCTCTTGAAAAAGAAATTCACATGTAAATGTATATATAACTGGAAAAGTAAGCACAAAAATGTTAAAAGTGATTCTTTTTTCAGATTGAAATTTTTTTTCCTTTTTGTAAATCTTTTTTTGCCCTAAAATTAATATATATTAATTTTAAAAGGAGGAAAAAAATAAGGTCATTTAAGTGAATTGTACTGTAGCTTATTTGAAAATGTGTCCAGTAGTAGGAATTGGAATTTCTGAACAGCTGTAGTTTTTATTTTTTCCTTTTACATTCTTCCTTTTACATCTTTGCCATAGGGGTTTTCAGGACTACCCCCCCACCCCCGGCCACTTCACTGGTGGAAATGCCGTCTGCCAATAGACTTGCTGTCCTAACCCTCGTTTAGGACTTCTCATTTACTGCAGATATTGGTACACATAGGTAGTGGGCGGCTGCCTGAGAGAGACCATTTGGTACTTCTTTTCTTATCTCAAAGCTGCTTCAGTCTTGTGTGCACAGGGGATGCTCAGAAGCGTGCCTTCTTTCAGGGAGACTGGCCATGCGCCTGAGTTAGATGATAACATGGAGGTTCATCACACGCTGTCTACTTGAGTGTGTTTTTGGAATTCTCCATAATAAAAAGTTAAAAAATACAATTGATAGGTAAGAGTAATTGAAGTAGTTTCAAATTGGTTAGCTATAAAATGCAACTATGAAGAGGATTGTAGGTAATTAAAATACTAAGATTGTATTGAGGAGAAATATATTATTCAGAACAATACCTGTGACATGGCATTAGTGACAAATATGACCAATAAACTGATTACCTTATGTGACTATGTACTACAGGTGGTCTGATTATTATTTTTAATGTTCTGGTAATTATTTTTAATGCTCAGATAATATAAATTTTTGCCTTACTGTAATTGGATTATTTTGATTTTTTAAAAATTATCTTTGAGAACTATAGGTCTACCAATATCATAAAAACTAGTCAATAAATACTTTAAAAACAATTCAACACACGTACTGAAAGTTGCTGGTATACAGTGGTGAGCAAATAATAGCAGACCTTCAGGAGCTTATATTCCAAGGACAGGGATGGACATTGATAGGAGAATCACACAAACAAAATGCAAAGTCACATCAGGAAGTTCTGGGCAGCACCTTGCAGAGGTGGTGGTTGGATGGACCATCTGTAGGGAGTGAAGCAGGAGTTACCTGAGTGATTCGGGGAGGAGGGGCCCTTCACATGTGCAAAGGCCCAGCGCAGGAAGTGACGGGAGAGGAAGGCCGGGGCCAAACTACCTCAGGCCTTTTGGTCAATACTGAAGGTTTTGATGTTTTCTCCTGGGAGTGGCGGAACTCCATTGAAAGACTCCAAGGGAGTGGCATGACCAGAATGATCTCTGACGGCTCGCTCTGGGTACAGTGCAAAGGACAGGTGGGAGGAAGCCAGGCAGGCCCTCGGCTGTAGTGGTCTAGGGTAGAGACACCGGCAACTTGGGAACTAAATGTGGGCACTAAAGATAAAGAGATGTGTGTGGATCCACGAGAGGTTTAGGACATGGCACTGCTGGGACTTGGTGAAGGAGGGGCTGTGGCAGGGACACAGGTGCTTTTGATGCTTCTGTGGATGCAGTGTCACCCTATGGGACCAACTCCTGGAGAAGGCAACACAGAAGTGGGAAACTTCCTGATTTTGTGGATGTGGATCTTAGGTGGACAGCCTGATGTCCAGGGCAAGTATGCATCTAGTTTCTTCCACTCTCCTTGAATGAGAAGTTGTGGTTCAGTTCCTGGATAGTAGAGCGTTCACCACTGAACGTTCACCACTGAAACAATGGATGAGTGGAAACACATAGGACCAGGTATGAAAGACAAGACTGTTTGAAGGTAAGTGATCGCCATTCACATTTGTGAATTTTCATGAAATTCAGAGCTTATTAACTCAGGTGAGTTAAATAAATGTATTTTAAAATTGCTATTTCTATTATTATAACTTTAATGGCTTTATAATTTTACAGTTGAGTCTATCTAGATGGATTACTGCATATCTGAGTATATATGGAGCCATCTGAGAATTCCTCCCAATTTTATGTAAAAGAGGACTGATTAAATGCTGTGAATTGAAAATTTATTTCTCTTTATCAGACCTTGTGTATCTTTTTAATGATGATATTTGGTGGAAAGGGATTTGATTTAGACACATTGACCTACATTCCAGGTTGTACTGATGATAATTTACTTATTATTAGAGTAAGCTACCAAGAGAAATCCTGGTGCCTTTCTTTTTGTAGATATTTACATAATTCCAGTTGCCTTTATCATAGCCATGTGAACATATATTTTACACAGACCGGTTCAGGGATTTAATGATAGAATTAGAAATAGCTAAGGAACTAGCTCTGAAAAGTATTGTAAATAATCCTAATCACATTAGATATTTTGATAAAATATTTGCCAGATAACCTTTCATTTAGTCTTTTTGTATATATTGCTTGAAAAAAATTCATATGAAAGTGGATTAGACTACGACAGCTGATTAGAACTGGCTGGGTCAGCCTGGAGCCTGTCAGTGAGTGAGCAGGCCCCACCGGGATTCCTGCAGACATGAAGCGTGACACTCAGGGCCCCAGGCTATGCCCCAGCTGTGCAAACAGCTTGGTTGCTGTGTCTGCAGTCTTTGTTCTCATTATCTGTGGAGCCTGCCCAAGCGCGGCGATGCCTCGGGCACCATTCCTGGGCTCACTTGGCTGCCTCTGACCCTTGCAGTCTACCCTGATGGGAGAGTCTGCATTTCCATCCTCCACGCGCCAGGCGATGACCCCATGGGCTACGAGAGCAGCGCGGAGCGGTGGAGTCCTGTGCAGAGTGTGGAGAAGATCCTGCTGTCGGTGGTGAGCATGCTGGCAGGTAAGGCCCGAGCCTCCTGGCAGGAGCTGCCGTGGACACCCAGGCTGCAGGTGTTCTCCAGCCTTGCGTCATCCTGTCTTTAGAATGTCCTTTTCCTCATTTGCAGTTAGTTTACACATGCTATTGCCATTTAATGTTATCTGCCTACACTTTTCCAATTGTAAGCATACCTTCTAGCATAGCCTGGGGTTGTATATTGTATTGTCGGCCATAATTAACTGGTCTCTGGTCCTTGATCGTCTTTTTCCCTCAGTAGGTGTTTATTGAGGACCCACTACATGCCACACACTGGACTGGGGGTGTAAAGCTTCGTGTGACAAAGACCCCAACTCTTTGTTCCTACGTTCTAGGGAACTGTCCAAGCCTACCAGCAGTTAGAGGCCAGTGGGATGCACCCTAAGATCAGACACATGCAGGGACTCTCGGGCCACTTCCTGGTGGGGCTGTCTGGGGTGTGTTTAGGACATGTAGGTGTTGATGAGGTAGGAGGGAGGGAATGGGGTTTTGGGGCAAAGGAAGCAGCCTGGGCTGAGGCCCAGAGGCAGGAGGTGGCTGACTTGATGGGGGCACTGCCAGCTCATTTTGGCTGGAGCCAAGGCTGCAGGGAGAGGAGCCCCAGCAGACCCTGGGGATTGGAGTTGGGGG
Source organism: Homo sapiens (assembly GCF_000001405.40). Taxonomy (NCBI): domain Eukaryota; kingdom Metazoa; phylum Chordata; class Mammalia; order Primates; family Hominidae; genus Homo; species Homo sapiens. Next base: position 44,772,901 of record NC_000021.9, on the reverse strand, counting down.
TGTGATGTCCTGTGAGCTGTGCCTTCGAAGGGCCATCCTTGCAGCAGTAACCAATAGTGTGATGGAAGACAAACAGAGACATCGTGGTGTTGCAGTAGCCTGGAGAGAAAAGAGAAGGGCTGAGTGGTCCCAGGGCTAAGAGGAAGGGGTGGGTTTGGGAGACCTTGAAGGTACAGGCTCTGGGACTCCTGGTTCTTTGTCTACCAGAGGTGCTGCTCTGGGTTCAGGAGACAGCAGGATTTGGGGAATAGTTTGAGGTGTGTGGGACAAGGGGCCTCCATCCACAAAAGGGGGTCAGACACGAGAGTGAAGATGTGGGGTCATTTCTGGATGAGGCAGTAGGTGATGGAGTAGGACGGAGGGTGACAGCATAGCAGGGAGGGGTCTTCCAGGGCAGTCAGGAGGAAGGGTGTGGGAAAGGAAGGCGGCAAGTCCGAAAGGAAAGAGCAGACCCAGCAGAGGGCCAGGGGTCGATGCCAGAGTGAGGCCACTCAGCTATTCTCTGCAGAGCCTTTGGGTGCCGTGGAGTGGGGTCTAGAGGGATGTGAGGTCAGGGCCTGTGACGCGAGTGTGTATCCTGAGAGGGCTGAGGCGTGAACCCTCTTCATGTGCTGAGTGGAGGGAGCCAGGCCAGGGGATTGGAGATTGGGAGGGAGGCAGTGGCTCAGGCTGTCCTCAGATGTCAGCTGTGGGTTTTATCCTCATCAACTCTGCTCTGAACCGGTCCCCACGTGCATTCTGAGCAGCGCCACCGCCGCACTGCACAGCTGCTGCCTCAGCACATGTCATCCAGTTCTGGTGGTCTCTCTCCGTTCTGCCTTCCGGCAGGCCCTGGCTACTCCCTCCGTGCCTCCTAACTGCAGTTCTGCAGTGACTGCCAGTGCCGCTGGCTAGGGGGTGGGTCAGGTATCCTGGGGTCAGGTGTCTACCTTAGGCTGCACATTTGCTTGGGATTGTCTTGGTAGGAGCTGTGAGGGGCAGTTTTGCTGAGAGGGCGCTCTGTGAGAGAGAAGCCACACTGCAGAGTGTCTTGAGAAAGGTGAAATAAGCAGCAGGTGGTCCCCGTGTAGCTTGTCCGGGTGCCAGAAGTGCAGTGGCCCAGGAGGCTGCTGTGGGAGGCCGTGTGGGCCTGTGCTTAGGTGGTTGTCGCATGTTCCACAGCAAGACAGATGACAACTTGTCCTGGTGTCTTCAGACACTCAGAACGCAGGAGTCATGAGAGTGGCTTTCGTTGAGACCTGCGTGGCCAGCACTCTAGAGGTGGGGCCGACCCCATGCAGTTCTCAGGTTCTTTGTTTCTGGGACACAGCTCTTGAAAGCCCCCGCCAGTGTTTTAAATAAATGGGAGACCTTGCCAGGCTGCTTACGTATAAGACTCCCTTTTACATGGAGGGTGTTCCCTTTTCTTTCAGAGCCCAATGACGAAAGTGGAGCTAACGTGGATGCGTCCAAAATGTGGCGCGATGACCGGGAGCAGTTCTATAAGATTGCCAAGCAGATCGTCCAGAAGTCTCTGGGACTGTGAGACCTGGCCTCGCACAGGCGCGCACACACCGCCAAGCAGCTCAGCATTCTCCCCCGGCACACTTAGTGACAGTGATGCTCTGTGCTGGTACCAAACAAGGCAGACTTGCAAGAACCATGGCATCTTTTTTTTTTTTCAAACCTTTCCTACTTCAAACAGGCTTCTCTTCTGAAATGATGACTTAATGTCGAATATTGACAGCTTACTGCAGTTTTACAGTATTCCTCACAAAGGGCTTCAGGTAGATTATCAGAGCTGTCAGCACTACCTCTCCCCGCTGAAACCAGCAGTTCATGGCTTCCTGTGGATTCCCTCCCTCCCTGGAGTGTTGAGGGGGTTGTACCTGCCAGACTTCCAGGGGACGATGGAATACCCAGAACGCTCCTTCTGAAGAAATGGGGCCCTGTAGCTGCAGCACAGGGGAAGGGCCCGGCACCCTTTCTGGGTCCTTCCTGGTTCCCTGTGGGCCCCATGAGGAGTCCATTACTTCCTTTCTTCCTTCATATTTTACAGGCAGATGCTTTTCTTATAATCTAATTACATCTTTTCATTTGTTATATATTACAAACCATCACACTTAGAAATACTTCCAGGAAATGCTTTTTTGAAGTGTGAATTAATAAGAAATGGGGTAAATAGAAAAGAAATTTATTGCTGATTGGCCAGGTGCGGTGGTTCGTGCCTGTAATCCCAGCTCTTTGGGAGGCCAAGGCAGGTAGATCACAAGGTCAGGAAATTGAGACCATCCTGGCTAATACAGTGAAACCCCATGTCTGCTAAAATTACAAAAAATTAGCTGGGCGTGGTGGTGCACGCCTGTAGTCTCAGCTACTCAGGAGGCTGAGGCAGGAGAATCGCTTGAACCCGGGAGGCAGAGGTAGCAGTGAGCTGAAGTCCCGCCACTGCACTCCAGCCTGGGCAACAGAGCGAGACTCAGTCTCAAAAAGAAAAAAGAAATTTATTGCTGATCACAAGGACAGACAGTTTTTTCCCGACCATACTCATCAAAGATTTACGTTTGTATATTAGTAACTAGTGCATTACTAGAGCAGGTGCAGGTGAGGTCTTTAAAGTTTCAATGAAAGTTTCTTCTGGATCTACAGAAAAAATTTTTTTTTTTCAATCTAAAAACTGGAAATTCTAGGGTTTTTGTACATTTTGGATGCACTGGGAATTTATTAGCACAAAATCATTCTTTGCAACTCAAAATTCAGAAGGGACTCTACCATATCTTAGCTCAGAGCACAGAGGAGTGCCTTATCCCCACACTTGACTGGGCTGTGGAGGTGGGCATGTGGGCCCCTGGGCCCAGGCTGGGGACAGAGCCCTTGTTTTGTGACTTAGGATTTTGATGTGGTTCCCATGTTCTCTAACAGGGCCAGCTGAGCAGCACAGGCCAGGAGGCCACAGTGTAAGCAATAACAGATCTGCCACATGCAGAAGCAAATATCAGGCCTGTCGCACACGGGCGGCATTTAAATAGGAATTTCTATTTTTGAAATAAGGGATGGTCTATGAGGCATACAGTAGATTTGATGTGATCCTTTTCTCCCTCCCTTCCATAATGGATCGTGGTCTGTGTGACTGAACCCACACAGAGTGTCATGGGTGACAGTTTCTGGTTGAAGTAGCTCCACGCCTGGCTTCTGTGGACAGCAGATTCTTTTCCTTCTCACAAGGGGCTCATTTAAAATTTGGAGGCTGGGTGCTGTGGCTCACGCCTGCAATCCCAGCACTTTGGGAGACTGAGGCGGGCGGATCATGAGGTCAGGAGATCGCGACCATCCTGGCTAACAGTGAAACCCTGTCTCCACTAAAAATACAAAAAATTAGCCGGGCGTGGTGGCGGGCGCCTGTAGTCCCAGCTACTCTGAAGACTGAGGCAGGAGAATGGCGTGAACCCAGGAGGCGGAGCTTGCAGTGAGCTGAGATCACGCCACTGCACTCCAGCCTGGGCAACAGAGTGAGACTCTGTCTCAAAAAAAAAAAAAAAAAAAATGGAACGCAGGGCAAGAACTCGTATTTGGAAGGAGATGGGGGAAAGGAGCGGTATTATACCTATGTTGTATTTGCAGGCAAATGAGATGGAGCCCTCTCTGTAAAGAAGAGTCATTTGTGCAAGTAGACGGGGTCTGTGGGTGCAGGCCCTGGAGGGGCACACAATTGCCTGGAGGCTTCTGTGAGATCGGGAGAGGGAGGAGAGGCAGTCTCTTGACAAAATAAAGTATTTTTATTCATTTGTATTTATTAAATGAAAAAACAATCCCATGGTGTCCCTGTTGTGTGGTGGAACCTAATGACTGTTGAAATAAAGTTCTGTGTTTTCCCTGCCCTGCAGTGTGTGTCCCTTTGTCGTATTGTCAGAGGAGCCTGTGGCCACTGCCCCCAGGGAGCACACCAGATCATCCCAGCTGGGATTCCTCACGGTGGGGGCTTTTCTGCAGACTTGGGTTAGCTCTGGCATGTTTTCTTCTGTTTCTGATCTCCCTTCTGTCATTCTGTGGTCTTCCTCTGGAATTCTCAGGTTAGTTGGGGTCTGTGAGACGGATGTGTTCACTAACCTATAAATGACATTTTGCAGCTTTTTCAGCAGATGCCATTGTGTGAGTGGCACATTTGACCACTAGAAGCCAGCAGGCTGTTCCGACTGCGCTTCCCTCCTGCAGTTGCTTAGAAGCACAGCTCCCTGTCATCACTCCTCTGTGGTCCTCTGTGGTCACGGTTGGTTGCGATGAGACCTGCCTCTGCGTCTTGTTACTTAGCATGTCAATAAAGAGGCAGATTCCTGTGTCAGTGATTTGCTGTTTCTGTTTTGGTAGTTGGCGGTCAGCTTTCCTTTGTAATCCTGTGAGGCAGGGTCCCCAGGCTTCCCCAGGTGCTGGCGCCTCGTTCCCTGGGCTGGTTCCCAGGCTGCTCCTGGTGGGGTGCACTGGGCGAGTGCCTCAGCACAGGCCCCCAGGCATGTCTGTTCTGCCCTTTGCCCAGTGTTCTCACTAAGCATTCTTTTTAATGGGTAAGAACTCTAATGTGATACTGAGTTGGGGTCCCCAAGACCACCCAGGGCGGCGATTCTCCAGGAGGACAGAGGCCATGCAGGTCACGGTAGTCACGGCTGTGATTTCCCACAGGGAGGACACTGAGCAAAATCGGCCAAGGGAAAGGTTCCTGGGGCCGAGTCCAGGGGCACCATGCTCAGCTTTGGAGGCCTCTCCTGGGGTGGGGGTCACGCAGGATGCGCCTCACTCCCCTGCAAGCAGCTGGGACTCTGCGTGTGCGATGTTGGGGATGCCCTGCCTGGTGATGTACCCGGGGGCTGGTCACGTGAGCAGCTTCTGCCTGGGCTGCGCTACAATTCCAGACTCTCAGCAGGGATGTGAGTGTTCTGCCTAAACCACCTTGTACAAATAGCACAGGCCCAGTGAGGCGGGGTTCAGGGAGCCCCTCGGAAATCCCAGTTCCCAGACGCCAGCCAAGGGCCAGCCCGGCCAGCGGGCCTCAGGACGGCCGTCCCCACTGTATGGACCCTTTCTGCGCAGATAACCTTGGGGGTTGACAGTGATTTTTACCATTTCATTTGCTCTGTGTTTCTGGGTTTTGTCTGCTGGCACTGGTTTGCCACAGTTGTTTGCCTGTCTGGCTGAGTGCCGTCCTTGCTTTTCCCATGCAACTGTCTGCTTCCTGGGATGGGGAGGGCTGCTGGGGTGGCCAGGGAAGCTCTAGGGTCTCATCTTCTGGGTGTTGGGGCTTTTCACCCTTCCTGGGGGTTAGCGGCCCCAGTTCACTGCTTGGGCCACAGCAAGGGTGGCGTCCACAGCTCTGACTCTCACTTCTGGGATTGCTGCACCTGCTGGGGCTTCTCCAGTCCAGTCTCTGTGTAGATGAGGTTGCTAATTTTTCAGAGGAGTGCTGTTCTGTACCAGTTTCTTCATAGGATATGGAACTGCTCCAGCTGCACAGAAAGGCACCCCAGGGCAGCCCCAGCTTCCCTCCCCTGGGCGTGCCTTGCACCGTGGCCCCCTGAGCTGACAAGGTTTCTGCAGGCTGGAATTTGTGCTGGAGGCGAGGGCCCTGGGGATGCTACCTGGACACAAGGAGGGGACAGGAAACAGGTACAAAAATTCGGGGCTGCCAAGGGGCAGTGAACACACTAAGGACAGGTGGATTCTGGAAACCCTGCCCTGGAGGGGACCGCGGGGCCGCTTGGGGTGGGGGCAGGGTTTGGAGAGGGGCTGTGAACAAAGCCAGCCCCTCTGGGTGTTGGCCTGGGGCCTGGACCCTGGGCTGGGGGGGGCACCCTGGGAGGAGGTCTCGTCGTGCTGATGTGGCGTGGTGGCCCCATCTGGGAGGGAATGCTGTTGGGCCCAGGTCCTGGCTGAGCCCTGTGGAAGCTGGAGGTGTTCAGCTCCTCAGATCTGTCCAGGTTGTGACCCGTTGTCACGAGAGCCTGGCTTTGTTGAGGGGACAAAGCAAGGTGAACCTCCCTGCAGAGGCAGGAAACACCAGCTTCCTCCCCCAAACCCCGGCACCACTCAGCCAGCCATAGCCTGTACCCCCTCACCATCCCAGACACACCTTCCAGGCCTCAACACCCACCGAACCCACCCACTGGGCAGTGCCAACTGTCTGGTACCCCGAGGCAGGTCTGGTGCCCCCGAGGCAGCTGGCCCATGCCCTTCGTCATCCCCTGGTGAACATCTGTAACCCCTGCCCTTGGCCTCACCCCGTTGAATGTCCCAGCCCTGCCCTCTGCTGGGTGGGCGTACTGGTTCGGGGATCCCATAGGAGCGTCAGGGAGATGGGGCTCTCCACCTTTGTGCCCCTCCTGTGCCCCCGTTCCCATGCCTGGACTGTGAGCGCTGCTGGCTGTGTGGAACCTGACCTCCAGGGCCCGAGCTCTGACACCAGAAGTGGGCAAGTCCTCACACGTCCGGGCATCTTCCCCTCTGAAGGCTGTGAACCCAGCCATGAGATGTCCGAGGGCGTGCTCTGAGGAGTTGAGGTGGGGGAGGTGAGGTCATTTGCCAAAGCCCCAGCCAAGAAATGGTCCTCGCCGTGCCCCGATGCATCGCTGAATCTGCAAGGCCCCCCACCCTCCAGGACTGTGGCCCCTCTGCCTCCATGGGGTGCGGTTGGTGGCATGAGGCCCACTGCACCCTCCTATGCAGTGTCCACCTAGACCCAGGGGCCTGCTGGGCAGCCTCCACTGCTCCACCTTCCCCCGCTTCAGGTGCTGGCCTTTGCGACACAGCCACCTCATGTCTCTTCTCGCACCCTGGTCTGGTCCTCTCAGTCCCCCCACCATCAGGCTTATTAGCCCACCTGCTGCACTTGGCAAAGCCTCACCTTCCACTCGGGGCCAGGAGACACCAGGGCCCGGCCCTCAGCACCCTCCCTTACATGCCTGGAAGTTCCTCTGTCCACCAGCTCAGTGGGGAAGTGCTCTGGACACCCCAGCCACTTTCCTTCTGCTCCAGACTCCAGATTTTCCTCCCCCTGCAGTGGCCATGCATGTTGTCTGCCTCCCACAAGTGTGGCCCTGCGGCCCTGCCCCCAGCTGGGTGGTGCACTGGTCAGGTGACTCACTCCCCTACATCCTTATCAGAACCCCCCGGGGGCTGGGGTGAAGATCGGCCAGCCTGGTAGCTGGCAGTGCTGTTGCTCTAAGTTGCTTGTCATAGGGATAACAAGAACGCATCCTGTGGCTTTCTTTTTTGAGTACAATTTCATGAGAGGCTAGGATGGCAAAGTGAAAGGAACTGGTTTTTCAGGTGTGTAAGTACAGAGCATTCAGCCCCATCTCTGTGGTCGGGAGATGATGCAGGGCCCTATCTCCGGTTTAGGCTTTGCAGTGGCACCCTGTCGTGTGACTGGGTGGGGCTGGGTGCCTTTGTGTGGGGACCACAGACCTGAAAGCTGCTCCTGGCATTGCCAGGAGTGTTGTCTGGGGCTTGCCAAATAGGCATGGGCAGAGTTGGCGTGGGGTGGCGGGGGGGTCGGAGGGAGGGCAGGATGTGTTCTGTGGTCCTGCCCTGTGGGCAGAGGCTGACGTGGGGCATCCCCACTGCTGCCTGGTCAGTGGCTGTGGGTGAGCTGTGGGCCTGGCAGCTGAAGGTGGCTCTGGCCAGCCTGCTGGGGCTTGGCCTTCCTCAGACCCCAGCAGCTGTATGACCTGGGCTAGCGAGGGAAGCTGTCTAGGTCTTTGTTTTCTGGTCTGGGAATGGGTTTGATGGCAGTCACATCCCAGCCCTGAGTGGTGGTGAGGATTAAAGACCATGTGTGCAAAGCACAGAGAACACGGAGTAGCTCGGGAGACAGCAGCCCTCCCTGTGGTGGGCGTGTCCAGGAGGCCACCCCCGCCCACCTCTCGGGGCAGGATCTCCTGTCTCGGTCCCTCCCAGCCCAGCGCATGTCTGAGCTGTGGTCAGGAAATCTTGTCCTCAGCTGTGCCCCTTGCCCCGGTCAGCTCTTCAGGTGGCAGTGGGCACATGTGTGCCAGGAGGGAAGGGGGCATCGTCCTCACAAGGGTGACATGGGGCCACCTCCAGGGCACAGCCACGGGGCCACCTGAGACTTGGCAGCAGTCAGCAACATGGCTCCTGGATGCCTTCCCACCCAGGCCTGTCCGAAGGAGAGCTCCTCCAATGTGGGGTGGATGGAGCCGCACCCTGGGTGGCATCCCTCCAGGAGGTCACCCACTGAGAGTCCTGGGCCTAGCTGCTCACCCTCCCACCGCAGGGCCAGGTCCCTACCAGGCGGCCACCATCTCGGATCCTCAACATTCCAGTCTGAGTCTGAAGAGAACTTTCAGATCAGAGCACGAGTTCCATGGGCCTGGGGCGGCATGTGCTGGGTGTGTGGGTGCCCCGAGTGCGCCAGGTGTCCCGGGTGCCCCAGTTGTGCCAGTTGTGCTGGATGCCCGGGTATGCTGGGTGCCCTGGGTGTGTAGGTGCCCCAGGTGTGCAGGGTGTCCTGGGTGTGCTGGATGCCCCGGGTGTGTAGGTGCCCCGGGTGTGCTGGGTGCCTGGGTGTGCCGGGTGCCTGGGTGTGCCGGGTGTCCCGGGTGTGCTGGATGCCCGGGTGTGCTGGGTGCCCGGGTGTGCTGGGTGCCTGGGTGTGCAGGGTGCCTGGGTGTGCCGGGTGTCCCGGGTGTGCTGGATGCCCGGGTGTGCTGGGTGCCCGGGTGTGCTGGGTGCCTGGGTGTGCAGGGTGTTCTGAGTGTGTAGATGCCCCGGGTGTGCTGGATGCCCGGGTGTGCTGGGTGCCTGGGTGTGCAGGGTGCCCCGGTTGTGTAGGTGCCCCGGGTGTGTAGGTGCCCCAGGTGTGCTGGGTGTCCTGGGTGTGCAGGGTGCCTGGGTGTGCTGGGTGCCCGGATGTGCAGGGTGCCCCAGGTGTGTAGGTGCCCCGGGTGTGTAGGTGCCCCGGGTGTGTAGGTGCCCCGGGTGTGCTGGGTGTCCTGGGTGTGCAGGGTGCCTGAGTGTGCTGGGTGCCTGGGTGTGCAGGGTGCCCCGGGTGTGCTGGGTGTCCCGGGTGTGCAGGGTGTCCCGGGTGTGCAGGGTGCCTGGGTGTGCTGGGTGCCCGGGTGTGCTGGGTGTCCCAGGTGTGCTCGGTGCCTGGGTGTGCTGGGTGCTTGGGTGTGTAGGTGCCCCAGGTGTGTAGGTGCCCCAGGTGTGTAGGTGCCCCGGGTGTGCTGGGTGCCTGGGTGTGCTGGGTGTCCTGGGTGTGCTGGGTGTCCGGGTGTGGTGGGTACCCCAGGTGTGCTGGGTGCCTGTCCCTTGGACGTCCCATGACAGGCACATCCCTGCTGGGCAGGGAGCATGTTGGACACCTGCCATGGCCCCAGCCTCTGTGCGGGGCACTCCTGTTTGCTCAGGGCTGGTGGAGGAGCAGCGGGAAACCAGAAGAGTTCTCAGGTTGTGTGCGTGTGTGGGGCTTTCTGGCAGAGGACTGTCTCGTTGGAACCAATTCAGATGGAAACAAACGTGGAAGGTTGTCCTTTGCTAATGGATCTTTGAAATCCTGGATAATATACTAAATGAGTTGGAACCACATGAAACATCTGCAGCTTAAGGGCAGAAGAGACTTTGGGATTCTCACGGGTTTCTCCTGCTGGACTGGTTCCCACCTGAAGGAGCTCCTAAAGCAGAGGACGGGGCTGCAGCACGATCCCAAATGTCCCGGGGGGGCCGATCCCACCCAGACCTCGGGTTCCACGTCACCAAGCATGTGTGTTTGTGCACACCTGTGTGCAGATATGTGCACACATGTAGGAGAGTGTGTGTGCCTGTGGGGGCGTCTTTGGAGCAGTTCCAGCAAAGCATTTGGCCTGCTCTTTTGTGAAGTTCTCTATCTCTCGGTCTCTGTCTCTCCATCTGTCTCTGTCTCTTCCCTCGCGCCTGGGCTGCTCCGCAGGTGTCCTGTCGTGTCAGCCCTGACTTGCTATGGAGGGTGGAGCCCAGGGCAGTGAGGCCAGCGGCTCGTGGGCTCCAGGGGCGTACATGGTAGAGATAGGGCCCGAGCAGCCCAGAGTGGGCACCTGGGAAGGCTACTCATCCCAGCCCCAGAGCAGCCCTGCAGGCAGCCAGCGTTGGAGCACACCCCTCTCTCCTCCCACAGGGGCTGCTGAGAGGTGGATGTGGCAAGAACCTGATCCCTGGAACTGATGGGGACGTGGGCAAGACAAACACGTGCCCTTAGCTGGCCACTCCTGGGCCTGCCTACAAAGACCCCAGGGCTGGGTGGAGCTGGGTCGCCATCTGGGCCTGGGAGCTGCGTCCCTGGATGGAAGACAGGTTGGCTCCTCATCCTGCCCCCACCAGCCACGTAACCCTCCTTGATGCCGTGGGGTCACGAGAGTCTGTGTCTGGTGGCTCTGACGAGACTGAATTAGCTACCTAGCAAGGGTACGTAGCGAGCCTAGCTGTGGCAGCCCTTCCTGGTTGAAGTTGGCAGTTGCGGCATGGCCAAGGTCCACTCTTAGCACACTGGGAGCTGGACAGAGAGCTGCAGGCCCTGGGCTTCCTGGCCAGAGGTCCTGGAATCGGCTTGCCAATGCCTATCCATTCCGGTTGCTTCTAGCAAGAAATGTGAAAACGTAACCTCCAGTTGAGTGTGATCTCCAACCCAGTCCCCTTCTGTGTTTGTCACAGGGGTTCCTAACGAGGGGCTGCCTGGCCTCCTGGGCACACTGGGCGGCATCTGCAGACCTTTCTGGTTGTCACAGTGAGGAGCTGTCGGCCTCCAGCGGGCAGAGACTGGGGTGCTGGCCAATGGGCCTGCAAACAGGGACCCAACCCCGGAACTCAGCTGGACCGAGTCAGCCTAACCTTCCACTGGGCTGCTTCTGTTTGAGAACCCAGGGCTGGGGTTTGCCATAGACAACGATGTGGGTGGTGACAGGGAAGGAGAGGAGGGCAGAGCCCGTGACATGCCGAACACCAGGTGCTGGAGGGCAGTGGGGTGGGGAATGGACCAGGGAGCTACCCGGCCACGCCCCTGCACCACCCTCGCATGCCAGACCCCCACACCTGCTCACCCACACAGTGCCACGCCCACACACGCCCAGGCACACAGCCACTCACACGTGCTCACACACACATACACACTCACCCTTTGCTCTCTGTTCTTCAGAATGTGCCGTTTCTATTCACCCATCTTCAAGGCCACTGACTCTTCCACCATCTCCATTCTGCTGTGCGCCCATGGGGTAAAATTTGTATTTCGTATGTTGTATTTTTTAGTTCTACAGTCTTTGTGTAGGTTTGTTTCCTGCTCTCCGTTTCTCTGTTGGGAACGCCTGTCCTCTCACGCAGCCCAGGTGTGCTCACCTTTGCCTCCAGAGGACGCTGCCGGAACTGCCTTAGAGCCTCGTCTGATGGTTCCAGCCTCGGCTGCGTCTTGGGGTTGGCATCTGTTGATTATCTTTTCCTCGAGAATTGTAATTTTTAAATTCACTATATGTTGAGTAATTTTATGTGAATATTTTGAATGTTATGTTTCCAGACTCTGGTGGTGGCGGCAGAGCTCTCGGGAGCTTTTCTGTGCGGCGTGGACCTTTTCTGTGTGTGTGCAGCTTTGGGGAGCCAAGAACATTCTTTGGTCCATGCCTGAGTGAGAGGCCTTGCCCAGCCCTCTTCCCAGGAGCTCCAGGGCCCCTTCCCCACCGTCTCTGGCTGGAATCTGGAATGCTCTGAGAATGTCTCCCCTGCTCCGTGCAGCTCAGCACAGCTGGAGCTGCCTCAGAACAAGGCAGTGATGAGCGTGGAGAGAAAAGCAATGTAACTGTTCGTGGAAGACGCCCTGGACTCTCCCCTTCTCCAGAAGAGAACTGTTGCTCTTGGTCCCCTTGGCGCTTGAGAACTGGTGGGTCCACCTGAATTGGTCCGAGTTTGGTTTTACCATTTGTTGGGTGGAGTCTGAGAAATGTCACAAGGGCCTCCCAAGTCTCTGTACCTGAGTGGGACTCCGTGTCCACCCTCCGTCTCTCCTGTGGCTCCTGCCAGGGCTTGCCTTTAGGCATGGCCAGCGTCTAGGGTAGACCTACTTGAGGGTGTCTTCCTCACTTCTCAGTTGTGGCCTTTCTAGTTTCTCGGCTGGATGCCCAGGGGATCTCAGAGGGATTCGGGGGCTCTTTCCATGCTGGCCTGGCCAGAGCTCTGTGTCCCCAGCACCCTCCACTTCTTGTTTCCTCCCCCCTCAGCCCAAGGCAGCTTCTCTGTAGGTTGCCACGTGCTCCCTCCGGGCAAATGCAGCAGCACCCAGCTGAGGCCTTGGGGCCCCATGAATTTTAGGCCCCGCCTCTGTGCCCTCCTGCTTCCGTCTCCAGCTCCTAGGCTCAGGGGCCCTGCCAGGCTCTGCCTGGAGTCAAGCCTCTGTGCCTGGGTAGAAATTGCCCTGGGAAGGGAGCTGTGGCATCTGCAGTGTGTCCTTCCCCCTGGATCACAGCCTTCACCCACCCGCGCCTGTAGACTGGTGCCTGTGCGTTCCGTCCAGTGTTTGACTGTTTAGGGCAGACGTGCTAGTCCAGGACTAGGCCCCCATTCTAGTCAGCAGCAGAACCTTGAGGGAATTCACACCTTTATTTTGTATTGATTCCCTTGTTAGAGCCAATATGTGTCACTTTTTAATTTGAAAATCGTGAAATAGCGATGGGAACGTTGGTAATCTGTGGCCTGCCTTTTGCAGGTACAACTCTGCCCGACTGCTCAGACCGACCGCTCTTGCTCAGCACTCTGAGGAGCAGGAGTGGGTGCAGCCAAATCTTCTGCGTTTTCTCCTGAAGTCTGCTGCAGGGAGAGAGTGAGGGCCGCGCACCTCCAGGGAGGGGACGCAAGCAAACATAAGTTCAGTTTTGACACCTGTTCGTCACCCTTTAAAGAGCGCATTCAGAGCTTATGTGATGCTCATTTTGGCTTTAGTCATTGGGCGTCTGAGCCCACACTCGGCGTTTGGAGGCCTGGTTTGGAGATTCCGACAGACCTTGGCTAAGGCCCATCCAAAGAAGCAGGAAAGGCCAGAAGCCCCATCTCAGAGAGGCCGCTGCCCATCAGTGTCGGTGCCCTGAGCTGGCCGTGGGGGGTTGTCACTGGGCTCTGTGCAAGGACACCAACCACTGCCATGAGGGCAAGACCCCCTGGGCAGGGATGGTCATCTGGCAACACCACTGGCCTGATGTCCACGGGGAGAAGAGGGGCCACGGGGCAGCAGGGGCCGCTCAGCTCCAGGCTCTTTCTGGGTTGTGGCTCACAGGGGGCTGGCAGGAGGGCATGCTGGCCTGGTGGCCGGGCCCTCCCACTGTGGTGGGGTTTGCTGTGTGCCCAACCAGAGCCCTCTGTAGGGGTGGAGCAGTCCCTCGCTTCCATGGCTGTGGGAGCTGGAGAAGCCTACCAGCCACTGTCAGCCAAAGTGGCCGGCTGATTGGAGAGCGTGGCCCCGAGGTGGGGCTTCGGCCTCAGCCAAAGTGGCCGGCTGATTGGAGAGCGTGGCCCCAAGGTGGGGCTTCGGCCTCAGCGGGCTCAGGGAGGGCTGGAGCCTCAGCAGAAGGAGCCAGGTCAGGGTGGGGAGGGTTCAGGGCAGCAGCTCGTTCTGGAATGAGGGTGGAGCTTTGGAGTTTAGGGAGAGGCAGGGGCTCCTGAGCTGGCCTGGTAGGGCTGTGCCTGGGGGTGGGGGATGTGAGGGAGGCGTGGCACAGCTCTGGGGGGCCCTGTAGCCCGGGATCCAGACTGACCTTCGGGAATGTTCACTTGTCCTGTTGTATGGGAAAGGATGGAGCCCAGGAAGGAGGAGACTGTGGCGGGAGCCCAGGGGCCAGCTGGCGACAGTGAGGAGGGGCTGCCCCAGGTATCACAAGGGGCCCCACGTTTACGAGGGACCACAAAGACACAGCTCCAGGGTAGGATGAGGGGCTGCAGGACCTGGGGGCAAACAGGCTCCGCATACACACAGGTGTGCACCACGAACTGCCCAGGGCACCAGTGTGCAAGCCCTGGACAGGTGACGCCTGATGTTCCTCCACCTGGGCTCGTCCCACTCCTGGGGCGCCTGCCGCGGGGCAGATACCTCCAGCCTGCAGGGCCCCGGGCAGCTGGCAGCAGCCCCATGAGACAGCTCTCACTTGCCCACACTCAGTGTGTGTGGACCGCCTCTGGTCCCTCCATGTGCCCTCCAGACAATGATTACAAAGTAATTAACCTACATTTAGCCTGTTTGTCATAAATAAATTAGCCACCTGAATCATCTGATTTGCCAGCCTACACAGGCTTGGTTACCAGGTGAGTGTCTCTGCAGGGGGAGCTGGGGTCCCTGCAGCCCCCATATCAGGCTGCTGCTGCCATGTCCACCTGCATGCAGGTGGTAGAGGAGGTCACCCATGGGTGCCGGCTCACACCCCAGCTGGGCCTTGGTGGCTGAGGGTGTCGCTCATTGTACCTGGAGCTCCGCACTGGCAGAGAGTGCAGCCTGAGGGGTTTGCCTCGGACACTGGCTGGCCCCTTCCACCTATCCCTGAGGGCTGAGTGGGTGGCATTGGGGGAAGACCCCACAGGCCAGGGAGGTGGCACCCTCTGGCTGCAGGACCATGCTGGGCCTCAGGAACTGGCCCTGGGGGTTTGTGGACCACACCGGGCTGCCTGTGGCCACTCATGCGGCAAATACCTGTGGCCTGCGTATGGTTTTGTGGGGGTCCCGGCTGGGGACATGTTTCTGTCAGTCAGAGTGGGCCTGGCTTATGCTGCAGAAGCAAATGGTTCCCAAATCTTAGGGCTTGAGGTAAGTTTGCTTCTCGCATTCATTACCAACCAGTCCAGTGAGATCTTCAGAGGGGCTCTGTTCCACAGAGTCACTCAGGGACCCAGGCTGGTGGGGCTTCTGCCACTGCCTCGTGGCACTTCTAGGAAGGGAGTCCAGCCCCCCAGACACTGGGGCCTTCCCTCTGTGTGCCCAGTCCATTCTGAGCCAGGCATGCCTTGGAGGTGTGTTTCCCCCGAGACCATTTGCTTTTGCTTCTGCTGGGGGCTTAAGGGAACTGTCAGCCAAGCTCCTCTTTAAACTACCTCCACTGATGCTTTCGTATTTCACCCAGCCTTGTGCTGGTCTTCAGCGTTCAGGGACTTTGGGGTTCCGTCTCCACACCTCTTCTGACCCCCCCCCCACCCCCCAGCTCTCTACTGTGTGGTCTCCTCTTTGGCAGCCCCTCCTCAGCTGCCTCTTCCACCTGGGCTCTCTGGGATTCCAACTGGGCATCTGCTTTCCAGCACTTGCCTCCCTCCACAGTCTCCTCATGGTTTTCTTGAAACGTCAGTGCACGCCCTCCCTACCCTCCCTGTCCCAAACTGTCTGAGTGGTCCAGTCATTGTGGCTGGAGCTCCAGTCACCACCCCCAGCTGCCCCATCAGGTCCCAGGGTCCCCGTATCTTCCCCATCAGGCCCTGCCTGAACACATGGCCCCATGTCCTGGTGATTCTCAAACTACCCCACCTGCATTCTAGGTTGTTCTCTCTCAGCTGGACCGTGGCAGTGGCCTCTCCTTAAATAGACAAAACACTGAAAAAAGCCTTTTAATTTTCAATGAAAAATCAATTTATGATCATTTTGGAGAAATTAGAAAAGAAAGGTTAGCAAAAAGCTGGATCTAAAATATATCCATGGTCTGGATCAGCACTGCTGATAATTGCTTCTTGGTGCCCTGATCTCGTGCCCTGTCTTTGGACACATGTTATATTTTAATACCCGGCACAGTGCTCTGTACCAGGATGCTGGGGATGGCAGAGGTGGCGAGGGTGGGCCTGGTCAGAAGCAAGTGGGAGCCTTTGCATGCTGCCTGTCTGCTGGTGTCTCCGGCGCCGAGATGGGGCCCCGATGGA
The DNA here is from genome assembly GCF_000001405.40 of Homo sapiens. NCBI lineage: Eukaryota > Metazoa > Chordata > Mammalia > Primates > Hominidae > Homo > Homo sapiens. Next base: position 44,757,019 of record NC_000021.9, on the reverse strand, counting down.
CTATAGTGACCGACTCCAGGGCACAGACGGCGTTCAGCCCTGCACGTCTCCTGATCCCAGACTCACAGCCTTTCTCAGCCTTTCTCAGGCCCTACGCACATTCCCTCCAGTTGGCATTCAGGCGTCTGAGTGGCCCCCCACTTCAGAGCCACCTCAGAGGCCCTATCAGTCTTCCCTGTGGCAGTCAGGTCTTTTCTACCATGAAAACCATTGCAAACACTATCTTTGTTCATATTCTTGACTGTGTCCTTAAGACGGCTGGACAGCTGTTGAGGGGAGCAGGGAAGCAGAGGCCCCATCACATGCTAAGACTAGACAAGTGTTGCAGGCCGAAAGAGTGAGGGTCGTGATCCACTCAGTATACCACTGGAGGCTGTATGAGTAGACAGCAAACTGTTCTCATAAATGCAGAATGCTGGCAAACTGACAAACTGCGTCTGCTGCCCCGAAGAAATGCTGAGGGCAGTTACGCGTCAAGCGCGGTGTTTCTTGTGATGAGGCACATCTGAAGCCTGTGAGCAATAATGTGAACCTGTGATCAATCAAGCAGCCCTCCGATCGTTACCTCCTCCTCCCTGCTCTTTCTACCTAATAAATATGAAGGGCTGTAGAAGCTCGCGGCGGTGGCCCTTGCTCACTAGAAGCAGGGAGCCCTCTTCTTCTTCCCCAAACCCCTTCTTTCCAACAGTTTAAGTTTTCATTTCTGCATTTGTCCTCCTTCGTTCAGTCCCGTGGTAACTGTAGTAAGTGTGGCAAACCGCAGCAGACAAGTCTCAAGAGAAACGTTTGTCCACAGGGTTCGATGTGGGGTCTGGTGGCCCTGCAAAGCAGATCTGGGGCCCTTTGGGTCATGCCTGGTGTCCAGACCTCCCTGCTCCTCCAGCATGCTTTGGTGCTGTAGCCATTGGCCTTCTAGAACCTTCCCACATTCCTGAACTTCAGTATTAGTGCCCTCCTCCCTCTTCTTCTCCATCACTCCAGTTCTGTTCATTCTTAAATGTTTTTGTGTGTGTGAGACAGGGTCTCACTCTGTTGTCCAGGCTGGAGTGTGGTGGCATAATCACGGCTCGCCTCAGCCTCAACCTCCCAGGCTGAGGCAGTCCTCCCTTCTCAGCCTCCCAAATAGCTGGGACTACAGGCATGCACCACCACACCTGACTAATTTTTGTATTTTTTGTAGAGATGGGGTCTTGCTATGTTGCCTAGGCTGGTCTCAAGCTCTTGGGCTGAAGCGGTCCTCCTGTGTCAGCCTCCCAAAGTGCCGGGATGGCAGGCGTGAGCCACTGTGCCCAGCCCTTAAATAAATTTTGCAAATTAAAAAGTAATTTGAATTTTTACGGGGGGGGGGTGGTCTCAAAGGGTCTCAAATAAATTATTACAAAGAGGGTCTAGATGGTATTCTTTTTTTTTTTTTTTTTTTTTTGAGACAGGGCCTTGCTCTGTCACCCAGAAGACATTTAACCCGTTATACAGAACAGTCCCCTCTAAATGTTTGGGGAATGAGTGGTCCCCCAGGTGGCAGGATATTGAAGTTTCTATTTTACCAACCCAGCTGCTGTACAAAGAATGGGGGTTGCATCCAGGGGCATTTGCGTGGTGGGGGATCGTAGATTGGGAGTGGACCGGAAATGCCTCCCTACTGTCTCTTGGCTTCCATGAACACTGTGCGGCTTCCTGTGGCTCCTCTGAAGGAAGTCTGCAGTTTTCTTTGGCTGCTGTAATGCTTTGACTTTAGTTTTCTGTAGTTTCACTATGGTGTTTCTTTTTATCTATCCAGCTTGGATTTCTCTTGGTCTCTCAAATCTGCAGAATGATGCATTTTATCAGTTTTGGAAAATTGCCAGCTTGTATCTGTTTAAATGTTCCTTTCTCCCCATTTTCTCTCCCCTTTCCTTCCGGGATTGGAGTTAAAAATATGTTGGAATAGTCCAGGGACACTCATTTTGATCTTCCAACCTCCAGAACTGTGTGAGAATAAATTATGTTATTTTAAGCCTCTAAGTTTGTGGCAATTTGTTTGTAGTGTTTCAAACATGCAGATTCCACTTTTCATAATTTCTAGTTTCCTGCCAAAATTTCCAAGCTTGCCCAGATGTTTACATCTATGTCTAATCTGGAGTCTTTGAGGGTCTATTTTCTGTTGTTTTGGCCAGTTTTTGTTCATGTGGTTGTGTATCCTTGTATGCTTGGTCATCTTTATATTCTGGGCATTTTATTTGAAAACTTATTCATAAAAAATAATTTGAGGCCTGGTATAGTGTTATTTTCTTCCAGATAGGATTTTACAAATGGCTTCTGCTAGGTGCCTGCTGGCATCAGTATTTGGAGATTGCCTTAACATAATTTCTGGGTTTGATGTTTTCCTGGCCTGAATGCCTAGAAGCCAGGCTGCAGGCTGTGCAAGGGCTAATTTGTATTCTGCTCACCCTGGTCCTAGAATGCATCCCTTCTGGGTCCTGGCATGAGGCAGAGGTGCTTCCCAGGTTACCCACCATTTTTTTTTTTTTTTTTGAGACAGAGTCTCACTCTGTCGCCCAGGCTGGAGTGTAGTGGTGCCATCTCTGCTCACTGCAAGCTCCGCCTCCCAGGTTCACGCCATTCTCCTGCCTCAGCCTCCCAAGTAGCTGGGACTACAGGCACCCGCCACCACGCCCGGCTGATTTTTTGTATATTTAGTAGAGACGGGGTTTCACCACGTTAGCCAGGATGGTCTCGATCTCCTGACCTCGTGATCCGCCCGCCTCGGCCTCCCAAAGTGCTGGGATTACAGGCATGAGCCACCGCGCCCGGCCTGGGGCACCCACCTTTGTTGGGCAGACCTCAGTTCCTGTTCTCCAGGTCATGGGCGACTCAGCTCAGTTACTTAGCTGCCTCCTGCAGGTTTTCAAATACCTCCAGAGCAAAGCGGTTCCAAACCCTGGGCCCATCTCTTGACTTTCTATCCTCTCTCGGGTCTTGACCCAGGAGTGCTCACTGGCTTGTTACCTCTTTGATGGTATTCACGAGGTTTTAGACGTGTTTTTCGAGCTCTGGAAAGGTCTTCAGCATGAGGAGGGCACAGACGGCCTGGGCTGCTGCTGCACACACTCAGGTGGGTCTCTTCACTTCACCTCTCTGGTTTATGGACTGCTACACTGTTTTAAGTCCAGAGCTTAGTTTTTCATATCAGAGCCATATGTAGACACTTTTTCCATGGTTACCTCCTGTGTGGAGGATTCTCCAGGAAGCTGTTCTGCTCGTTGTGAACTGACTCCTCTGAGAAGCTGCAACGATGAGAAATCAAGGATTGACTGAAACCGACCCCGAGCCCGTGCATCCTGCAGTCAAAGCCACGGCCCCCTCTTCACTGAGGGCCTCGCACAGTGGCCTGGGGCTGGCGGAGAGCTGGGGCTCTGGCACCAGACAGTCCTGGAGCTGCCGCACGAGCTCCGTCATGTGGGAGCAGCCGCCGTGCTTGTGGACACAGAGCCTGGCGCGTGGCAGGTGCTCTGCAGACAGCCCCGTGTTGTCCTCTTCATCAGCACCATCTCTCTCCCATGCTGCTGGACAGAACCGGGCCTCCCCCAGGAGCCTCTGAGGGTGGGTGCTTTGACACGGGATTCTACTACACAGCCCAGCCACAGACACGCAGAACAGGTAGCTGGGGCCCTGAGCGGTACTGACGGCGAAGATGTGTGATTTCTCAGGGTGCTGCTGCACTTTCATCTTTTACAGGCACAGACGCACGTCGAGACCAGTTGTGGGCTGCCTCATTAGCAGTGGCACCCGACTGACATCTCCTCGTGTTTTACACTTGAAAACCTGGAGTCACACTCGGAATGAGTCCAGCTTCCTCCCCTTCAGCCACCTGGAGATGCAATCATTTCCTTTATCTGGCTAGATTCTATCTGCCCCATTCAAAGCCACGGGCCTTTCCCCAGTTTTAATTACCTGTGGCAGGAGGTGACTCACGCAGCCTTGGAATCTAATGAGGCTGTTGCTGGTTAGACAGGTACACTCACACACATGCACATACCCTCACATGCACATACACGTGCACACACAGCACACATGCACACAAGCATGCGTGCACACGCACTCACACATGCACGTGCACTCATGCTCACACGCATTCATGGACACACATGTACTCTCGCATGCACACATAGCTTGTCGGCCCCGGGCAGTGAGGCCATGTGCAGTGGCAGAGGCTCAGCACATGAAGCAGCACTGAGCATTTCCTGGCTCCTGTTGCCAAAAATCACATCTTTATGCAGTAATCTGCCAACAAATTGTTAAATGTTAGAAGTTTACAAGTTCCCTTTTCCTTCCCCCCTCTTTCCCTTTGTCCCTCCCTCCCTTCCTTCCTCTCTCCCTCCCACTCTCCTTCCTTCCTGTTTCTCCCTCTCTCCCTCTCTTTCTCTCTACACTTATTTACTACCCATCAGGTGGCCGGCATTGTGCTTGGTGCTAGGATAACAGTGGAGAAAACGCTCGGCAGCTGTGGGCCTCGTGGATTTGGGGAGATGGACGATACACAAGTGAAAATGGATGAAGGGAGCATCCAGCGCTCCAGGCGGTGAGGAGCGGCCCAGGGCGCACCCCATGAACCCACACAGCCCCGGGCGGGGGGGAGGGGGCTTCCCATCTGCAGTAGCTGTAAAGGGTCGTTCTGGGAGCATCACAGGCAAAGGCCGGGCTGAGCAGAGGGTGAGGGGTCCAGGAGCCAGTGGGCCGGGGCCTCCTGCAGAGGCCTCCTGGGCAGAGCTGGTGGGGAGAAGTCTGGTGCCGTGGGCTCCGTCGGGCAGCCTGGGGGTTTGGAGCTTACCCTCCTGCGAGGAGAGACTGGAGGAGGTTGAGGAGCCGCACGCTGGGACTCGGGTCTTCAAGGGGTCCCTCTTGCTGGTGAGTCGGGTTGAGGGAGGAGGAGGCTGGGAGGCTGGGAGGCTGGAGGCTTAAGTGGGGGCGGGGGCGCCAGGGGGCACTATGGAGAGGGAGACAGCAGGTGCACTCAAGATGGATTCGGAGTGGAGTCCACAGGATGGGCCGATTGATCCGAGATGGATGCAAAGTGGAGTCCACAGGTTGTGCTGATTAATCTGAGTTGGATTCGGAGTGGAATCCACAGGATGGGCCAATGGCTTGGAGGGGGCGGAGGGAGAAAGGGAGGACGAGGGCTTGCCAGTGGGACACCGGGCAGGGGGCGGCTGGAGCCATGGGGAGGACCGAGGGGCCGGGAGCAGGTTTGGAGCAATGGATGTGGGGCCTGTTTTGGATGTGGGGCCTGTGAGATGCTACGGCGACACGTTTGTGTATTCGGCCACAGCACCCATTCTCCCTGATTTGGGTGGCGCCCCCTCCCCCATTTCCTTTAGGGAATCACCTCTTTCCATAGCAGTCGCACGGGACATGGGGAGCGTGTGGCCATTTCCTCAGCCACCGGGGTCCCACCTCCTGGCCTGTGAGCTGAGGGTCCCAGGGACAGAGCACACCCAGAAGCCTGTGCTCCTCCCGGGAGGCCCTGTGGCTGTGAAGAGGCTGTGCCCCCAAGACGCCATTTTGCAGAGCCCAGCCGGATGTTTTAGCGACACTGTGACCCCGGAGCTGGTGGAGAGGCACTTCATCCCCCAAGGGCGGGTTTCATTCTCAGCAGCACAGGGACCCTGGCGCTGGGCCTCTGAAGGTTCACCCTGCGGGGTGCAGGAACAGACATGGGATCTCCAGCGGCTGCAGGGAAGAGGTGCAAGCCCCAGCCAGCAGAGCCTCTGGAAGGGGTTAGGTCGCTGCGGGCGAGGGCCTGGGCATAAATGCGGCATTCTCGGTTTCGATGCTCCCCTGTAACTGGCATCTGAAGTTTCTGGTGAATTCCAAGGGAGGCCTCCTGCCAGGCTTTGCTCCCTTGGGGAATGTTCTCTGTAAGAGCCGAGGCCATCACGGTCTCTGCCTGCCTCTGACAATTGTCACACTCACTGACCTGTGCCTTGTGAGCTTGGTTCAATTATCTAACACACACCTGGTATTTAATTCTACCTTTTACAAAACACCCAGCCACGGTGGATCAAGGAATCAAATTTGCTTTTAAAAAATACCAGTATTATTGGAACAAGAAACCAGCTAGAGATGTGTGTGCGGCCGTATAAGCAACAGTGTCTGAGCGACTCTTATCACCTGGGCGGATGGAGTGCAGCCTTTGGAGGAAGCGTGGCTTTAGGGCACAGCACGTTCACAGGGAGGAAGCGGGAATGACAGCACATTCACAGGGAGGAAGCGGGGATGGAGAGGCAGGGGGCCAGTGTGGAGGGGTCGGAATGACAGCACGTTCACAGGGAGGAAGCGGGGATGGAGAGGCAGGGGGCCAGTGTGGAGGGGTCGGTATGACAGCACGTTCACAGGGAGGAAGCGGGAATGGAGAGGCAGGGGGCCAGCGTGGAGGGGTCCGGTGGTGTTGACCTCTGCCAACACACAGGGGTGCGGGGACACAGCCAGGCTGCTGCAGGGCCTCATGGGGTTGCAGGGAGCCCCACATCCATAGCAAGCAGGCCGTCCGCCCCGGCATGCACACGGCACACAAGGCAGGGACATTTGTTGGTTGGTTGGCTCAGCATGCACGGGCATCGCTCAGCCTGCCGGAGCAGGGAGTAGCCGGGATTTGGCCAAGGGCTTCCGAGCCCTGGGCAGAGGCTGGGCTGTGTACCCCATCCCTAGACACCACCACTGAGGACACAGCGCCCGGCCTGAGGATGGTTTCATTCCTGGGGCAGGAGGACTCTGGGTGACTGGCGCGGCGGGGTGCTGGCACCGGTGCGGGGAGGCCAGCTTCGTGGGGTGGGTGACTGGCGTTGCGGGGTGCCAGCCCGGTGCAGGGAGGCCAGCCGCGTGGGGTGGGTGACTGGCGTTGTGGGATGCCGGCCCGGTGCGGGGATGCCAGCTGCGTGGGGTGGGTGACTGGCGTTGCAGGGTGCCAGCCCGGTGCGGGGAGACCAGCCGCGTGGGGTGGGTGACTGGCGCTGTGGGGTGCCGGCCCGGTGTAGAGAGGCCAGCCAAGTGGGGTGGGTGACTGGCACTGTGGGGTGCCGGCCCGGTGCGGGGAGGCCAGCCATGTGGGGTGCTGCTTGGGTGGCAGTGTTTCTCCTGGAATCTCCTCACCAGTGGCGGGTGGGCACAGTGCGTGCTGCTGGAGGGGCCACAGGCCCTGTCCCAAGCTGGGGTCTCCTGGACCAGCCCAGAAGGAGTGAAATTTGAGTAACTGCAAGGAAAGGCCAAGAATTCCGCAGTCAGCTCACAGCCTTGGACGTGGCCCACAGGCAGGGACGGGGAGACCTCGCCGGCTTCAGAGGGTGTCAGGGACCTGGACCCTGGAAGCAAAGGTTAGGAGCAAGGAAGCAGCGCCACCCCTCACACCCCACCTGGAGGCCTCGGTGGGCCCAAGGCGCCGACATGGAGCTGGTGAACAGACATCCTCGCTGGGGCCCCTTAATCAAAGCCTGTGTCCCTTGTCTGGAGATCCCCAGTGACGCTCTGCCCAGCCAAGGAATCCAGGGCCACCCCCGTGAGGGGATCCGGCCTTCTCCTTGGGCTCCCTTGCCCCAATCCTGGCCTCTCTCTGAACCTGTGGCTCACAGCCAGGTGAGGGCACAGAAATACTGCGAGGTCTGGAAAGAAGCCGAACCCGGGTCTCCCCCGACCTGCCTGGGCAGCCGCAGTGCTTGCAGCGGGAGCTCCCCCAAGGATGTCTGTTCACCAGCTCTGTGCCGGCGCCCAGGCCCGACCCAGGCCTCCAGGTGGGGTGTGAGGGGTCGCGCTGCTTCCTTGCTCCCAACCTTTGCTTCCAGGGTCCTGGTCCCTGACACCCTCTGAAGCCTGCGAAGTCTCCCCCTGCCTGTCTGTGAGCCACGTCCAAGGCCGTGAGCTGACTGTGGGATTCTTGGCCTTTCCTTGCAGTTACTCAAATTTCACTCTTTCTCGTCAACCTGGGCTTCATTCCCCTGCCTGCCACTGCCCCTCCTCATCCACTGCCCCCACTTTCCAAATGGCTTACGGTGCTGGTCTCAGTGTGGCTGAATTTCTCCCTGAAGCCGCAGCACTGGTTCCCAGTCCATAGAGAGAATCGGAGCTACTCCGAGGCTTGTTAAGACAGGGCTGGCCCCAGCCCGGCCTGCTGACTCCGAAGGGCTGGGTGGGGCCTGAGAATTTGCATTTCTAATGCGTTCCCAGGTGATAGCCCTGGGGCTGGTCCGGGAGAGCATTTGAGAGGCTCTGCCCTAGAGCCGTGCTTCCCGACCTTGGCGCCTGGTGAACGCAGCTGGTGGCCTCCGAGAGGCTGACTCAGGCCTGGGCTGGGGCCCCCTGAGAGCTGCTGATGCCCTGCGGGGTCTAACATAGGTGGCGGCACAGGGCTCAGTGGACTCAGACCCCGCTAAGCCAGCCTTCTGCAAGGGCCAGGGAGAGTAAAAGGACCGAAGGCCCGGAGAATACCATGGAACGTGATCTCGTTTTCCAAAGACACAGAGGATCTGCTTCCTCACGGTTGTAAAAGAGGTGTTTCTATTCCAGAAAGTCTTTTGTTGCTCATCACACTCATTTGCAACAAACAATAGATATATTAATTGAAATGAAAGTTCAAAAAATTCTATGAACATAAGGATCTAAGTGCTAAATATATGTTTTTATTTTTTTCTCTGGATTTTCCCTTAAATATTAACACAAAAATGTATCAAACTGCACTGTTAACTAAAAATAAAATTGGAAGCCCCCCAACAATTGAATGGACCTCCTCTTGGCCAAGGGGACCCAAGAAAAACCTGAAAAACATACTTCTTTCCTGGCGCAAAAAGCCCTTGAGCCCAGGAGTTCCAGGATGCAGTGAGCCATGGTCGCGCCACTGCACTGCAGCCTGGGTGACAGAGCAAGACCCTGTCTCAAAACAATGCCCCAAAACTGACGAAGTATAAACAGGACCTAAGCTCATGCCAGACAAGGGTTAAGTCACACACCCCGTAGGTCACACTGACCCAGTGTATTGGTTCGAAGACTTCCTGATGTTAAACATTCTTTTCTGCCTGCTCCAAATTTTTATACAAAGCTTTATTCCTTTAACCAATTGCAAATGAAATAATCTCTGAATCTACCTACAACCTCTAAGCCCCCCATTCACAGTATTCTGCCTGTGACCCCAAATATCTGAGGCAGGTCTCAGCCATTTTAGAAATTTTATTTTGCCAGGGTTAAGGACACCTGCCCGTAACACAACCTCAAGGGGTCCTGACGTGTGCCCAAGATGGTTGGAGCAAGCTTGATTTTAAACATTTTAGGGAGACATGAGACATCCAACAATATGTCTAAGATGAACATTGATTTGGTCCAGAAAGGCAGGACAACTTGAAGCAAAGGTGGGACACCTCAAAGTGGGGAGGGGGTGGCTTACAGGTTATAGGTAGATAAGAGACAAATGGTTGCGTTCTTTTGAGTTTCTGATTAGCCTTTCCAAAGGAAGCAATCAGATACGCACTTACCTCAGTGAGCAGAGGGATGACTTTGAATAGTATTGGGAATAGGCCCCCAAAATCTGGCCATAAACTTGCCCTAAAACTGGCCATAAACAAAATCTCTGCAGCACTGTGACATGTTCGTGATGGCCATGACGCCCACGCTGGAAGGTTGTGGGTTTACCGGAATGAGGGTGAGGAACACCTGGCCCACCCAGGGCGGAAAACCGCTTAAAGGCGTTATTAAACCACAAAAAATAGCATGAGCGATCTGTGCCTTAAGGACATGCTCCTGCTGCAGATAACTAGCCAGAGCCCATCCCTTTATTTCGGCCCATCCCTTTGTTTCCTGTAAGGAATAATTTTAGTTAATCTGTAATCTATAGAAACTGCCTATCGCTGGCTTGCTGTCAATAAATACGTGGGTAAATCTCATCTCTGTTCAAGGCTCTTAGCTCTGAAGGCTGTGAGACCCCTGATTTCCCACTCCACACCTCTATATTTCTGTGTGTGTGTCTTTAATTCCTCTAGTGCTGCTGGGTTAGGGTCTCTCCGACCGAGCTGGTCTCGGCAGAATAGAATGGGAGGCAGGTTTAACCTAAGCAGTTCCCAGCTTGAATTTTCCCTTTAGCTTAGTGATTTTGGGGCCCCAAGATTGATTTTCCTTTCACATTCATTTTCGGGCTGAACCAATGTATACCTTCCATGTATTGATATATGTCTTTGCCTATAACTCTTGTCTCCCTGAAACGTATAAAACCAAACCATGGGCCGGGGATGGTGGCTCAGGCCTGTAATCCCAGCAGTTTGGGAGGCTGAGATGAGCAGATCACCTGAGGTCGGGAGTTTGAGACCAGCCTGACCAACATGGTGAAAGCCCATCTCTACTAAAAATACGAAAATTAGCTGGGCATGGTGGTGCATGCCTGCAATCCCAGCTACTCAGGAGGCTGAGGTAGGAGAATCGCTTGAACCCGGGAGGTGGAGGTTGCAGTGAGCTGAGATCGTGCGACTGCACTCCAGCCTGGGCAACAGAGAGAAACTCCATCTCAAAACAACAACAACAACACCATAACCCAACACGTCAGGCACACTTTCTCAGGCCTCATGAGACTGTGTTTCCATGGGTCATCATCAGCCATGTTGGCTCAGAATATCTCTTTAAAATTTAATTTTACAGAGTTTGATTTTTCTGCTAACAGCACAAACATAATATTTAATAAAATACTGAAAAGTGAAGTAGGTAATTGTTTGGAAATTGCGTCTCCTGCTTAGGTGGGATTTTTCCATAGTTCACATGTCCACACTCCATGTAGTATTCACGCAGTCCATGTGTCATCGATACACAACTTCTCCTTAGCTCAGCGAAAACCTGGGTTCTTATCCCACAACCAGGAAGAAGTTAGGCACGTGAACACGCTGAAAGGTGAGGAAAGCAGAATTTACTAACAAAAAGCTCTCAGCAAAAGAAGAGGTCCTGCCAACAGGCTCTCACCACACAGATTGAATTCCAGGCCACCACACATGAGCCAGAGACAAGGCTCCCCGTGCATAAGGCCCAAACTTCCCATGGCTCCACCGCATCTTCCCAGTATGCAGGTGGGTCCCCAGTCCGTTGTGGGCATGTGCAGACAAAGCCCTGGGCAGCTTCCCTCATCTGTCTCCTGCAGCTGTCATTCCCCCTCTAAAGAAGTACATCTAATTGGTGTTAGAATAAGGATAAGAATAAGGACGAAGTCTTAATTGCTTCCTGCTGACAGGGGCACTGTTTTGGGGAAACAGCAGTCAGAGCTCCCTCAGAGGCCTATTTAAGGGTTCCCAGCAGAAGGCTACCGTCCAAGGCTCCCCTTGCAAGACCGATTGGAGTTTGATGGCCTGAAGGCGAGAGGAGACAAACTAGGTTATTAGAAAACATGTATTGAAATGAAATAATTGGGGGTTAAGGACAACTCAAAAATCCTGAGGCCTTTTCCCAAACTGTAGAAGGAGAGGGAGGCCAAAAACCCAACTGGTTAAAAAAATAAAAAGTAATAATAAAAAATAAAACCTTGACCCTTTTGCCGGCATGTTGCTCTTCTGGGATCCCTTCCCCTGAGTCCGGTCCTAAGCCAACCAGTTTAAGGTTTGGGAAATTAACTTTTCCCAGTTTGGAGGATGCATCTGAGGGGAGTGTCCCATTGTACAGAGACACAATTACCTATCTATGAAGACAGGACAGAGGAAGAGATAGGAAAAAAAGAAGGGTTTTTTTTTTTCAAAGGAGTCCCAGGGGGTCAGGATGCATTTAAAAGGGGTACAGATGAAGATGGATGGCTACCCACTAGAAGGAGGGAATTGAGGCATCCCAGGTTCCCTTCTCTTCCTAGCAAATACCTGGGGTATGTGAGGGAGATAAAGTGAGGCAACCTTCTTTCTTCTTCCATCCTCATATCCCTGGGTCCCAGTGACCACAACAGGGTGCCACCTATGGGTGTCAAATCGGCTTTCACCCATGTTACCAGGGGGGCCTAGGGGGTGGGAGTATCTGCTCTCACCCATGTTCGTCCTATTTCCCTTGCTATCAGTAGCCTCTGAATTGCCTAGACCTCGCTTATGCCTTGGATACTAGCATGACCTTTATCCATGAAACGGGAGGCTTGGCTTAACCTGCAGGAATCACTCACCTGTGCTGTGCCTTTTAACTTCATTATCATCTGCCTCTGGGTCCTTCAGATCCAATTTTCTTTTCTAGGGCTTTGACCCAAAGGTTGAAATTGAGTTTGGGACAAAAATGTGTCTCGAGGAGGTTGCATGGACTCCTTATCATAGGCTGAATGGTAAGGTGAAGCTGCGGAATTGAGTCCTCCTCCAACAAGGGAGAGAAAAGGATGTCCTGTGACATGCCCTGATAACTGGTGGATATAGTTATGCTTGCTAAGGTCTGGGTGCATGGGGCTTGGCTTTGGTTAGCTCCCTTGGTCTTACTTTCACAAAAAGGAAACCTCCAGGTGATGGGCACTATATTTATTCCCATCACCTGGCAGGATTTGCAGGATCATTGCTCAGAATTAAATATGGATCCAGATTTTTACATTACCCATCCCCTTTTGTTCCTTCTGAGCTGCAGTTGGAGATGGCTGGTTGGTTCACAGGAATAAGCAGGGTTAGTCTAAAATGTAGGCAAAACGCAAAAACAACGAATGAGTCTAGAGTTTAATGACAAACGTATGATAAGTTTTGAAACATAATGTCTCTCTCCAGTCCTCATTTTTAAAAACAAATCATGATAGGACTGAGTTGTTTGCAAAACAGACTTTAGTCTTATACTTGGCCTGATTATTTGCATAAAGAGCAGCAAGCATAATTATTTTAACGTGGGCCTTTTAGATTTACATGGGCTTTGATGGAACTCTGTTTCACAAGGAATGTCAGATAGGCCTTTCTAAAGCTGAGATTGTACCCTCAAATACTTGTAAGCTGGGTAAACAACTCTCTTCTTGAGGTCCCAATAGCATGGAGTTCCTGGACCTGTTAGAAAGTGACATGCTTTACTCACCACAGGTTAGGAACCCTGTATGGGGACTGTGTAGACCAGTTATGAGGCCAGTTTTCCCAAGGGTCTTTTGTTGGCTCTGCAAATCGAGCTTGACTCCTTAAAGGTGAGCATACCCTTCTAGTCAAAGCCTTGGTAAAACAACCAGTTTCTCCAATTGTGTCTTGTTGCAAAAGAAAATGGATTCTTATTGCACTGATGCAAACAACTATATTGTCATAAGTTAAGAATACTTACAACTAGTTTCCAAATCCCGGAGAAGCCAGGCAGAGAGAGAGACAAATATGTTCCAAATTGTGTTCACAGTAGTATACCTTACTTAGTTATTAAAGGCCATAAATAGCTCAAAATGTTTCCTTGACTCTAAAAACAAAAGGATCAGCAATTTTCCAAGCAAAAGTAAAAAATATTACTTCAGTTTTCTATTAGTTCAGTCCTTTCAGTTAACTCTTGTTTTACTTGCTATTTGTGAACATTTCAGCTCTTCATGAGTCTGGTACATTTTTCCTTTATTCTAATGTCACAATCTCCAAAATTATTAGAAACCTGCATTTGAGAGCACCTGGTGAAGTTCTGTAGCTGATTATAAACCATCCTTTGAAGAGGATCAAAACAAGACAACAATTGTCTATGAATAACAAAATGTCCAGGGTAGTTACAGTCAGAAACACAACTGACAAATACATTTGGTTATCTCCATAGTTTACAATAACTTAACAACCTTAATTGTGATCGATAGCATATACTCAGACATTAGAATTTTAGAAATCCCATACAACTTTGGAACATATATTAATATTATTCCCTAAAATATAACCTGAGGAATATTAAAGATCATTTTGGTAATCCCATGTACCTAACTGTGTCAGGTAATCCTGTTTACCTCTCTTCTGGGTGCTCCAGGGGCCCTCTGTGGCATCCAAAAGCCAGGGATCAGGAAAGACAATTTTTGAAACAGGAATTTGATTTTGGGAAGCCTGTCAAATATGTTAGAAGTTTAAAGAGTTGATGTTATGAAATAGAATTCCAGATTTCCATAAGTTATTTATTTCACCAAAATGATGACTCAGACATTTTTTTAAGAAGCAAAAACTTTTTATAACCCTTTACAAATTTTGCTAGATAGCAGATTAGTGTCTTAAGAGAACCCTTTTGGGCTTTTATTTCAATGCTCAATTTATGGAAAAGCCATAAACTAAAGTCACGTGAGCTAAAAGGTACCACAGCTTTTATCTTACCTTTAAAAAATATTTGATCCAAGTGCTTATCCTTCCTTAAGTCAATTAATTAGAGCTCTTTTTTAATAGACATCACACACACAACACATATATAACTACACAGGCAGAAGAAGATTCAGTAGCTATAATATTTTTCATAATTGGATTGTTGGCCTCTGGGTGGAGCCCTTTAAGAGCAAGACTAGGAAAACATGCAGTTTCCAGGCTCTCATAAGCAAATATAGCTGGGAGACAAAAACAGATTTTGAGAGGGATCCATCTGCCTCTAATTCCTGGGGCTCCATGAGGAAATCAGAGGTCTCTCATCTTTCATGTGTGCATTAAGAGTGGCAAGGCAAAATGGAGAAAAATAATTCAGTTGACTGAGAAAAAACCTCTTTCCAGCAAAACAAGATCCAAGAAGAGAAAAACAAAGGCCTTTTAAATATACCTGTAACTTGGATATCCACTTTTAATTAAGCTGAGTGCTCTTTAATAAAATCCTTTTAAATCTCATTACCCAGCTTTAGCCATGCCAAGCGGCCAATATTTCTGGCTTTCAAACTTTTCTGAAGGTTCAGAGAAAGGAAAATCCAAGGCAGTTTGTGGAGGGGAAGGGAATCAACAAATGGCAAAGGTCATGTAGATATCAAACCAGAAAGAACTCATTCCCTAAGCCAGGATTGGACCTGGGCCGCCATTGTAAAATGGTGAAGGCTAAACCAAAGCACTGCCATGTCGCTACAGGTCATGCTCCCAAGGACATAAAACAAGATGGAGGCCTGCAGCAAAGTTTGCTACTGACCATACAGAAAGACATGCAGAGCACACCAGATTGGCTGTAGCTTAAGACCAACTCACAAATCTTTCCTTCCTTCCTTCCTTCCTTCCTTCCTTCCTTCCTTCCTTCCTTCCTTCCTTTCTTTCTTTCTGTCTCTCCTCTCTCTCATCTTTCTCTCTCTTCTCTCTTTCCTTCTTTCTTTCCTTCCTTCTTTCCTTCCCTCCCTCCCTCCCTCCTCCTTCCTTCCTTCCTTCCTTCCTTCCTTTCTTTCTGTCTCTCCTCTCTCTCATCTTTCTCTCTCTTCTCTCTTTCCTTCTTTCTTTCCTTCCTTCTTTCCTTCCCTCCCTCCCTCCCCCTTCCTTCCTTCCTTCCTTCCTTCCTTCCTTCCTTCCCTCCTTCCTTCCTTCCTTCCTTCCTTCCTTCCTAGTTTTTTACTCTTGTTGCCCAGGCTGGAGTGCAGTGGCGCAATCTTAGCTCACTGCAACCTCTGCCTTCTGGGTTCAAGTGATTTTCCTACCTCAGCCTCCTGAGTAGCTGGGATTACAGGTGCGCACCACCATGCCCAGCTAATTTTTTGTATTTTTAGTAGAGACAGGATTTCATCATGTTGGCCAGGCTGGTCTTGAACTCCTGACCTTAGGTGATCCACCCACCTCGACCTCCCAAAGTGCAGGGATTACAGATGTGAGCCACTGCAGCTGGCCTACAAATCCTTTTTCATAATTAAAACTTTACAGAGAAAAACAGTGATAGCTAGGGTTCTGGCCTACTAAAGTGCTTTCTAAAAGGGGGAAAAAAACCCTCTCACTTAAAAGTTAACTCCTGACCTGGTGGAGAAAAGAAAAAAAGCTTAAAGTGCAGGGTTGGAAAGATGCCTTGGGAAAGAACCTCTTATTCTTATACAAATAGTTTCCTCCAACAGGGAGAGAAACTTACTGCTGTTTCTTCCCTAGGGCTTGAATGGAGCTGGACTCCTCAGTCATGGAATGAGGAGACACCATGGACATATGGTGGGGAATGCTGGCCAGCCTGCCACATGCAGCCTTTGAGCTATGCACCCCAGCCCCAGCTGGGAGGGGAGGCCAGGCGGGCGGGGAGTTGCCGCTTGCCCATCTGTCCCAAACAATGAAGGAAAATGCCATAGAAAGTCTGGGTCGGACCGAGGCCGACATTCTTGACCCCTGGGAGTGGCAAGGGTGGGGGCCTGTTTCCTTTACCTTCAGAAGAAGTCTGAGGACAAATAGGCTCAAAAACAAAAGGGAAAAAGATGTTTTGGTCCGCATTTACTCACCTTTGCTCGTGTCCCTGTATGGGCCACCAAAATGATGCAGGATTTTTACTCCTTAGCTCAGCTAAAACCTGGGTTCTTGTCCCATTACCAGGAAAAAATTAGGCACGTGGACATGTTGAAAGGTGAGATTTATTAAAAGAAAGCTCTTGGCAAAAATAAAATGAGGTCCTGCCAACAGGGTCGCACCTCACAGATTGAATTCCAGGCCACCACATACAAGCCGAAGAGGCCAGGCTCCTCCCCGCTGCACAAGGCATGCACTTCCCATGCCTCCACCCCATTCTCCCAGTGCACAGGGGGGCCCCCAGTCCGTTGCAAGCATGTGCAGACAAGACTCTGGGCAGGTTCCCTCATCTACACAAAAGTATCTGATATAAACACTTGTGGGGTGGGCTGGAGATTCTGTGGGGACCCTCACTTACCTGCCTCCTGCATCTGTCATCATTTTGTGATAGAATGAAACTGAGCCCTGCAGAAATTAAAAAGCAAAGAGATAATAATGTCTTGGCCATTAATAAGTCTGGAGCTTAGGATGAGTATTTTGAAAACTGTGCTAAATGTCTTATTTAAGCTAGAATTGGCATTGTGTTGTTGTTCATGTGATCTAAGTCAAGTCAGGACTGATAGGACCGAATGGACAAGTGGAAACATAGCAGCTGGGCAGCAAGAAGAAAGACTTGTGTCCAAATGCAAAGTGACTCTGGATTTATAGTATGCACTACAGTCTACTGCTGTGTAACAAACTGTCCCCAAACAGTAGCTTAAAACAGCCAAATGTATTATGCCACACAGTTTCTAGGAGTCAGGGACTAGAAGCTTAGTTGGTGGTTCTTGTTCAGAACATCTTATGAGGTTGCAGTTAGATGTTGGCTGGGGATGCATCATCTGCAGTGTTTAAAAGGAGTGTCACTTTTAAGAAAGCTTCCTCACAGGGCTGGCAGTCAGTTTGTGCTTTAGTTCTGTACCATATGGCCTGTCCAGCAGGATAGCCTGGACTTTTTTACATGGCAGCTGGGCTCTGAGAGATGGGGGAGAGGAAGAAAGAGAGGGAGAGGGAGTTCTGATGTGTGTCCTTTTCCTTAAAGATTTATTACTGGTCCATCAGAAGGAAATGTGAAACTTCCCACTTCCTCCTCCTTGAGATGCTACAAATATACAACTGACCTTGGGGCTGAGGTGCAGGGGCAGAAGTGGAGCTCTCATGGCCCAGAACAGAGAGGATGCAGAGCGGCATTTCACAGCATGCTGTTTGGGTAACATGATACCCTAGGTCTAGGAGCAATAGATGCATAAATGGATGGCTGGGCAGGTGGATGGACAGAGGGAGGGACACTGAAGCTTGTCCCAGGTGTCTCCTACATGGACTTGGGATCTACACTGCCATCTTTGCTTTCTTCCTACATTGTCATTGCTTGAACAGGACTGCCCCAGGAGAAATGTGTTTTTTGGCAAGTGCAGGGGCTAGAAAAGGAGCAGTTAAGGATAACAGCCACTGTACCCACTCTACCTTCAGAGCACCCTATTGCGGCCTCAACATCCCTTTTTTAATGCCAACTTTTCACTTTACATTTCAAGAAAATAATATGTCTCTTAAAGCTCTTGGGCCTGGATCCTCTGAGGACTGCATGCCCTTGAGAGAGTGGGGCTAGCCCCTGGTTGAAGACCTTTTTTCTAAGGTTGCTATCGATTCACTCCCCTTGCATCTCTTAAGTCTGGTATAGTTGTCCCTCCTTTCTTGCTCCTCTCTCACTGGGATTATTGCCACTGCCTCTGTGGGGATGTATATGGTTTTGGCCTGTCCAGCACCCACTCATCTTTCCCCTGCTAACAGCTGCCTGGCTGGCCTTGGGGCCTATGCCATTCAGGGGACTTGGGGCTCCTGGCTCCAGGACAGGAGAAAGCTTGGAAACATGGTGTATTCCTCTTGATTTCATGTGTGCTGAGTGGAAAGGTAAGGCTCGTCAGGGTTTCCCAGGTCAGAGGCTGACCCCTGTGGAGGACACCAGGCAGCTGCTGCTCAGAGGTCTCTGCAGGAAGGACAGAGAGCCCAATTAGCTGGTGCTTGCCAGACCAAGGCCTTGACTCAGATTGAGTATTTTGAGTAGCGATGCGGGAACATGATTTAGAGTTGCATAGAGTGATGATGACTTCCTCCAATCCATTTCTGCCAGCTGCTGGATTCATACATCCTTCGAAAGATGGTTGTTTGCCATCTTTGCTTCTCTTAATGATCTATCTGGGATCTTGTGTCATGGAAAATGTCCAGATGTATCGTCTTCATTTGAGTGGCTGCATAGTGTCCCTTGAATTGGCATCCCAACCTTTACTCAGTCCCCTCTGTATTGACAGCCAATTTGTTTCCATCTTCTGTTCTTAAACAGCACTGCCATAATATTTTGGTTCTCATGTTGTTATATGTATGTGGAGGTAAATCTGTATATATAAAAAAAAAGTCCCAAACAGGAATCACTGGGTCAGAGGTATTGCCATTTTAAATACTGAGAGATTGCCCCCAAATAAACATGACTTGTACATTCCACCAGGTGCATAAGAGCCATGTTGCCTTTCATAAACAAAGAAAACATTTGGTTCTGGTTCTGCCTTCATGACAGTTTGTGGTGAGCTCTTAAGGCCTCTAATGAGCTTTCTGGTGAATGTCGGCTCCTTTGCGAGCATATCTTGATTGAGAATCTCCTGCACTCTCCTTTTTGGATGCTCTGGCATCCACCAGCATGTTCTCTGCCTGAAACTCCTGTCCCCCTTGTTTTTCCACCCCAAAACCCCTTCTTCAAAACCTGTCTTATGCACCCTGTCTTTCAGGAAGCCCTCCCTGCCACGCCCAGGCTGAGTCTCTTGTCTTCCATGCTCTGAGGTTCTTCCTCCATCTTTGGATTCAAACTCCACTGTTCAAGTGGGCTGTTAGAAGAAGCAGGCTGCCTGTTTAATGGATGAGGGCTGGGCTGAGAGGGGAGACAATTTGGGGGAAATCATTTATTTCCCTCATCCATTTGGAAGAAACTTCCTCTATTACTCAAAATGCTTTGGAATATGACACCTTTTAAATTCATTTTCCCCCAAATCACTCTTCACGCTGCATTTTTGACCAGTGGGAGAAAAACCAGAGTCCACGCAGTGGCAGGCTATCCCTATCCTTTGTTCTGCCTGCTGTTTGGCCAAGCAGTGGTGTGTAAGGGAAGAGGGCTCCCCATGCCTGCTCTCCTCCCTCACATCCACATCTCATCCTCCTTCAGCTCTGTCTGTCCAGCCTTTAAAATGTGTTATTTTTATCCAAGCATCATTTCTCCAGGATATCCTAGATCCTCCCAACAGTCTCTTGCTCCCACCTTTGCCCCCAAGTCTCCTCTCCCTGGTGCTCAGATCATGCACCCCACCCTGTTCAAACCCTCCCTGGCTCCTTGTTACACCAGAGTAAGACACAGACACCCTTCCCTGCCCACAAAACACATGAAGCCTGCCCCCACTCGCCTGTCCCTCCCCTGCTCACCTGCCCAGCCCCCACCTGTCCTTCCCCCTCCCCCTGCCCTCCACCCCACCCCTCCCCTGGCTGTTCTCTGGAAACTTCAACTTTGTCCCCTGCAGAGGGCCTCTGCATCAAGTCCCTTCTCAGAGAGGCTTGGCCTGTTGCTTGCTGCATCCCAGCTGCCCCATCTCTCTCTGCTTTCCCCTCTGTGGGACGTTTGTTTCCATGATCCACCATGACATGGCCTCTGTGGCCCCACAGCAGATGGGGGACACCCAGAAGGGCTCTCAGGAGGGAGCTGTGATTTATCTCAGGGTACAGGGCCCTGCAGGTCCTTGCTAAGCACCAGTGTCTGCCCCTCCCATGGATGCCCAGCCCAGTCAGGGCAGCTGCGTCACTCACTATGTTGGCCTGGTGCCCGTGCTCTGTGAGTTCAGCTGGACTGTGGTGTCCTCACCGTGTTTGCTAACTTGTTCCCACCAGGCTATTTCCTTGGCCTCTGGACATGCAGCCTACTGTAAATGATCATCTCAGTGAACCTTGTGCAGCTTTGCCAGAGGGACCCTAAAAAAGATGCCCACTCCTCCTGTGTACTCTTGTGTGGGTGAACTGGCAGATGATGAGAAGGGGGTGTCACTCGGGGAGGGCTGGTGCCCTGGAAGCATGTGGAGCCTGCAACGGCCCTGCTGCTGCTGGCTAGGACAGAGTGGGAAGTCAGGTGGGCCTGGGGTACCCAGGGATGTGGCAACAGGACAGGGATTTTGTGACGGCCTCAAGGCGAGGCTTCTGGAGAGCCCCAGAGGATCCGGCCAGGAGCAGGCCCAGCTCCTCTCCAGCTTGCTGTGCCTCAAAGAATCCTCTGGATCTCTCTGCCTCAGTTTCCCTAGCTCACCACTGACAGGCTGGACTTCAGGCCCTCTGCAGTGGCCCACAGAAACACCCATGATTCTGCATGGCCACCCCAAAAAAGATGCTGAAGTCTTTTTCCTGTGAATATGCCCTTATTTGGAAAAAGGGTCTTTGCAGGTATAATCAAGTGCAGGTGAGGTCATTGGGGTGGCCCTAACCCAAGAGGCATATGTCCTTATGTGAAGGTCGTGTGGAGACAGAGACTCAGCAGGTGGCCGCATGACAAGGGAGACAGAGGTTGCAGTGATGCGGCCACAGGCCGGGAAACACCACAGCTGCCAGGAGCTGGAGGAGGCAGGAAGGATCCTCCCCTGGAGCCTCCAGAGACAGTGCGGCCCAGTGACACTTTGATCTGAGACCTCTGGCTCCAGGCCTGAGACAAGACTTTTCTGTTGCTTTAAGCTGCCTGGTTTGTGGCTGTTGTCACAGCAGCCCCAGGACACTGGCACTCCTGACATCTCAGCTGGCCGCCACCTTGAGAGGAACCAGCTCTTCTCCCCTGAAGTCTACCTTTCTCCAGCCTAGACCACAAGGAAGGACACTGTCTTGCACCCTGCAGGGAGCACCCGTGACCCCGTTGGGGGATGGAGACCCTGTGTATTGTGGGAGGACGTGACACATCCCTGCAAGGAGGACCATCTGCTTCCTCTCTCCTCGTGGTGCGTGGGCCTGACCTGGAATTCAGAGCTTTGGATTACCTCGCTGCCTGTGTGGAGGCTCCTCAAGTGGGACACCCTCTGTGTGTTCTGCTGTGTCGTCTATCTTAGGTCAGAGCCAAAGCACACGGCACACTTTTTAAGCCTTTCAGAGTTAATTTGTCAGAAGGCAGGGCCTGCTGGGTAAACACTGGGAGCTGGGGACCCCAGCCTGGCTGCCAGGGCTGGAGAGGGCGCTGCCTGGAGCCTCACAGAGCCTGGGAGCTCCACGCCAGTGCCGCTCTTCCGCCTGCCGTGATTGTCCCCGGGTAGCCGCTGAGCCCGCCCGTTGTCACCAGTTTTTCAGGTGACCTCAGTGGCCTGCCAGTCGGGCCTCAGGGCTCATGCAGCCCATGAAGAATTTCTGGGTCCTCGTTTTCCTGAACATTTATCTTCCATCCTGGAACATTTGCGCGTCCTCACTGAGAAGACAGAGAATGCACCCCAACCCTGGCCCCTGCAGGAGGCTGGGAAGCCGCGCTGGGACAGTGACGCCCTGCTCGTGACTTGCCGCCGGGCAGCCCTGGCCATTCCCAGAGCGGCTCTGGTCTCATTTCCGGGGATGGGGCCTCTCCTGTCCTGCCCCCTCCTGTTGGCACCCTCCCTGCAGCCGGGGCCTGGGGTTGGGAGAGGGAGGCTCTGACAGTAGGGAATGACCTGGCATGGGCCACAGCGAGGAGGCCAGAGGTGCCTGGGACAGGCACGGAGGGCAGGGCTGTAAACGGGAATTGGAAGAGGACGGGGCCGGGGCAGGCGGGATGGCAGCAAGAGCTGGCCAGAGTCCACAGGGCACATGGCTATTGCTCTAGCTCCAGCCCCATTTCTCCCAAACCTCCGAGTTTTGGGAAGCTCAGGAATTAAACAGTTATGTCCTAAAGACCCGTATCATGCCTTGAATCCCATGTGTGGGTGAAAAGTCATCGAGGCAGACGACAGATCCATATGGAGTGTGCCCTGAGCACGTGTATCCCCGGCACGGGGGGGTGGGTGGGGCCTGCTGTGTGGAATGACTGAGGGGCCGCTCCCCACTTCGGGGACCTTTTGGATGGAAGGCTGAGTTTCCAGGGGCCGAGTGGCATTTGGGAGTGGCCACTGCTGTGGTTACACTAATGGCATTATCTCCTGGCCCAGTGGAGGGGGCTGAGCCCAGACCCAGGCCACCTGCTTTGTAGGAACTCGGGGAGGCAGGGCAATGGCCACCAGCAGGGTTCCCATTTTATGGGTCAGGAAATGGAAGCCCAGCGAAGTGAAGGGATTTGCTCTTCCCTCTCACCCAGGGGCAGTTTAACCCCGCCTGCAGCCCCACCCAAGCCGGGCCCTATCTCGAGCAGTGACATTCAGAGAGGACAGAGAGCCACAGCATGTGTGGGGATGCTGACTTCAGGCCACGTGGCACTTTCTCATGGATGACATGTCCTGACCCCACAAGGGTTTTACCTCCCGGGGGTAATGCTCCGAGGCCGGGCACCCTACACTCCGAGGCCAAGAGCCAAAGCAGCTGAGTCAGTCACGAGACACAGGCCCAGATGCGCCATTCAGCTCACATAACGTGCAGCCCACATCCCTGTGGGTCAAAACAGCCAAGATCTATTTTTGCATGTTGCAAGTCCAAGGAGGGTTGAAGTTACTCAAGGCTCAAGGGGAGGGAGTACCCCATGCCCTGAGTCTCTGCTGCCCATGGCCCAAGGCCCAGGAAGCAAGCAGTCAGAGCCAAGAGCCAGCAATCGCCCCCACCCAGAAGACCCACTGCCAGGCCCAGCTCCAGGGGCAGGGAGGGCAGGCACAGCCATCAGAGACAGCCGAAAACCTGCCCAAGAGTCAGGTCACACTCCGTATGGATCTGCTCTTCCAGAAACACAGCCGTGCAGTAGCCTGGATGTAGCCTCTGCCCCGGTACTAGAAGGCCCCGTGGCATAATCAGAAACAGATTCCTGGCATGGAGCTTTTAAAGCCCTTGTAACTTCCTGAGCGATGGGGTGAGAGAAACATCACGTGTTACAATATTTTGTCCTAGCTCCTAAGACCCTTGGACTCTTGGGAGACATGAATGTTTTCTGTTTGTTGATGAGATGCCTGGAGGTGAGGCCCTAGCCAGCTTCAGAATGGGGTGCTGGTGGCAGAAAGATTAAGGCAGATGCCTGGAGGTGAGGCCCTAACCAGGTTCAGGATGGGGTGCTGGTGGCTAGAAAGACCAAGACAGATGACTGGAGGTGGGGCCCTAGCCAGCTTCAGGATGGGGTGCTGGTGGCTAGAAAGACCAAGGCAGGAGGCGGGGCCCTAGGCAGCTTCAGAATGGGGCGCTGGTGGCAGAAAGATTAAGGCAGATGACTGGAGGCGGGGACCTAGGCAGCATCAGAATGGGGTGCTGGTGGCAGAAAGACCAAGGCAGGATTCGAGGCTGGGACTTGCTGGAACCTGTGACCTCCGTGCAGAGGTTGGGGACTGAGTCAGTCACCAGGAGTCACTAACTTCACCAGTCATGCGTCACGGAGGCTCCTTCAAACCCCCACACAGAGGATGCAGAGAGCTACCGGGCTGGGAACACATCCTGAGCTGGGAGGGCGGGGCAGCCGGGGCTCCACGGATGCCAGCTCCTGCACTCAGGGTCCCTCTGGGCCTTGCCCTGCGCACCCCTCACCTGCTGCTCATCTGTGTCCTTCAGCACACCCTTTATTAGGAGAGTAACCCAGCAAACAGAAGTGACGTTTCCCTGAGTTTTGTGAATTATTATAGCAAATTATTGAACCTAAGGAGGGGGTCATGGGAACTCCCAATTTATAGCCGAGGTACTGGGGACAGATGACACCCCGGGACCTGTGATTGGCACTTGGAGTGGGGACAGTTTCCTGGGCCCATCCCTCAGCCTGAGGGGTCTGTGCTGACCCTGGTCAGTTGGTGTCAGAACTGAATTAGATTGCGGGATACCCCATTGGCACTGACGCAGAATTGGAGAATTGGTATGGAAACCCACACATTTGGTGTCAGAAGTGTGGTAAACACAGTTTGTTTTCATTTACCCCCATCTTGCTTCTGTCTTTTAATGCCACTTTATCCTATTCCTAAAACTGAGCTGTGCTGGGGGAAGCTGAGCCCTGCAGGACGTGCCCGGTCTGGGCCCCGGCCGCGGCTGTGCTCCTTCAGCTCCAGGCATCTCCCAAGCCTGCTGCTGCTTCCTGAGCTCCCATGCCCAGGCCGCAGGTGCCAGGCCGCAGGTGCCTCCTCACTGTTGCAGGGGCAGAAGTCCCTCTACTGCTGTGTATTTGGCTCCGAGTCTCACGCCCAGCCATTCCCAGTGCTCCTTTCCCCTCACCTGCATCTCCTCTGTGGAGCCTGCCTTTCCTCCCTGCCTGTCCCTCTCCTTCCCTCACCGTCCTCTTGCCACCAGGTTGTCAGCATTTTGCAGATAGGACTTGTGTTGGATGGGGCTGTGACTAGCTTTCCATGTGACATAAAACCTGAGCATCTTGATGTGAGGAGTCTTGCCATGTTGTTTGGATTTCACTGAATTAAAATCTGGGTTTTGTGGTCATTGTCGTGGACTGAATGTTTGTGTCTCCCCTAAATATATCTGTTGAAACCATAACCCCCAAGGTGAGGGTATTAGGAGATGGGTCCTTTGGGGGCTGATGAGGTCATAAGAGTGGAGCCCTTGTGAATGGGATTCGTGTCCATATAAAAGAGGCCCCAGAGAGCTGCCTTGCCCCTTCCACTGTGTGAGGACACAGTGAAAAGACAGCTGTCTGCAACCTGGGAGAGCTTTTAACAGACTCCAACTGTGCTGGCACCCTGGTCTCCAATTCCCAGCCCCCAGCACTGTGAGGAAATAAATGCCTGTTTTCTGAACACCATCCAGTCTACAGGCACCGTTGCGGCACCCAAGCCAGGACAGAAGATCAGTGCGAGGAGTGAGAGCTGCTGCAACCAACGCCTGTGAATGTGGATGTGGCCTTGGAACTGATGAATGGGGGCAGCTGGAATCATTCGGAGCCACATGCTAGAAAAAGCCTAGATGGCTACGAACAGCTTTTTAAAGGTGATTCTGGTGCGGGCTCAGCAAGAAGAGAAGCACTGCAGAGAGAGCCTCTGTCTTCTCAGAGGACGCCTAGGGGATCGTGAGCAGAACCCTGGATGGGAAGGCTCAGATGGAAACCAGGAACATGCTAGTGTCAACTGGAGGAAAGGCCACCTTGTTAAAAAGCAGCAAAGAACTCGGCCGAACTATGTTTGTGTCCTGGTGTTGTGTGGAAAGCAGAACTTGTGAGTAATGAAACACGATACTTGGCTGAGGGGGTTTATAAGCAAAGTGTTGAAGGGACGGCTTAGTTCCTCCTGGCTGCTTATGGTAAAATGTGAGAAGCTAGAAATGATTTCAAGACCAAGCTGTTAAACAAAAAGAAACCAGAACTTAAAGATTTGGAAAATCCTCAGCCTATGCATAATGTAAAAAAATGAGAATGTGTGTTTGGAAGAGAACATTAAGGGCATAGCCAGATGACCATCTGATAAGGGGATTTGTGTGGGTGTGAACCACAGTCACAACCAGCTGTCCCGGCAGGAACACTCAGCTTGAACCAAAGGTGGGAGAGAGGGGAAGGAAGTGAGTTTGGCCGTCTGACCTCTTGGGTTGTACCGAGCAGGACCAGGGAGCTATTTGGCTGTGAACATGCACTATTCTTCAAGACAAGGGAAGAAGGACCCAGAAGGTGATTTAGAGTCCATCAGGGCTGCCACATGGGCAGCTGCTCCCTGGGAGCAACAGGCCAGATGCTCCCTGCCCAAAGCCTTGGGGGCAGGGCTGCCCAGAGCCTTGCAGGCATGACCCCTGCCCCCCAGAGCTGCAGGGGCAGGACCATGGCCGTAGTGGGTCTGGAGGGCAGGGGCTCAAGCCAAAGAAGATGATTCTTGAGCCTGAAGATTTAACATTGTTTGCCCTATTGGGGTCCAGGCTCCATGGGACCTGTTACCCTTTTCTTCCTTCCCATTTCCCCCTTCGGAATGGGAAAGTCTGTCATATGGCTCTCCCACCATTGTATTTTAAACGCATGTAACTTGTTCCATTTTACAGGTTCACAGCTAGGGAGGAAGTAAACTTTGAGTGTCACCCGTATCTGATTTAGATGATGTTTAGATGAGACTTTGGACTTTAGACTTTAGAGCTGATGGCAGAACGAGCCACCACTTTGGGGTTGGAGGGGTGAAATGAATGTGTTTTGCACATGAGAAGGACGTACAATTTCGGAGTCAGGAATAGAATGTTATGGGCCGATTGCATCTCCCCAGAGTTCCTATATAGAAATTCTAACCCTGGTGTGGTGGCGCTAGGAGGCAGGGCGTTTGGGAGGTGATTAGGTTGTGGCCCTCATGATGGGGTCCTCTTATGAAGGAGACCCCAGAGAGCATGCTGTCACTTTTGCTCTGTCTGCCACATGAGGGTGCAAGAAGAAGACAGCCGCGAGCAAACCAGGAAGAGTGTCCTTGCCAGAACCCGACCCTGCTGCCACCTTGGCCTCCAACTTCCAGCCCCTAGACTGTGAGGAACACAGCTTGTTGTTGAAACACCCAGTCAGTGGTATTTTCTTACAGCAGCCAAAATCCACTAACGGTCATCAAGAAGCTGATGTGTGATTAGGAACCACCTCTTGCCCAATGTGCGGGGAATCAGTTGGACCCTGACGGAGCTGCCTCGGTCAGGAGTCCCGGCTGCAGGGGACATCCACAGAACCCAGAAGTTATGGAGAAGCCACTGGGGCACAGGCAGCCTGGCTCCCTAGGATGCAGAAGACACCAGGCTCTCCGCCCCCTCCCTGCTGCAGGCCGCTTTCCTGTGCCTCTTGCTATGGTCAGGGGTGCCGTGTTCCCCTGGAACACGTGCCGCCTTCTGCACTGCCTTGAGTCTTTGGCCCGCTTGTGTCTTGGACTTACCGCAGTGCTGTTTTGTGAGGGGCACAGACGCACACCATCAGCGCTCAAGAGGCAGACACGAGATCGGGTGATACTGGGCCAGCAGGCCAGTGTGCAGCACCCTCCACTTCCCGGCCCTCTTGGATGGTCACCTGTCCTGAGCCTGTGGCCCAGCGGGGCCCTGTCCCCTTGATCTGTGCATATTCGCAGGGGCGGGGTGCTGGTGGAGAACTCAAGGGGGCCCAGGGCTGGGAGCAGCCGGTGCTCCTGGTGAGCTCACTCTGACCAGCTGCACAGGCCATGTGGAGGAGGGGACGATCCCCAGGTGCCCCACAGGCCCCCTATCCCCCGTCTCTTCAGGAGAGGGATGACGGCCACTCCCAGTGGTGACTCAATGCCTGTGCCACCCACATCATCAGCTGTGCTGGCGGCTCACAGAAGACGACGGGACAGTCCATGTTTTATGCCCATATATCATATATTTTTTATCTACCATGGGTATCTACATACATTCTTGCTGCACGGTGCCGAGATGCTCAGTGTCTATCTCTGACAGTGAAATTGTGATCAGTTTTCATTCCTACTTTTTGTCATCCATATGTGATGAGGTTTCAACAAGGAACCTATTATTACTTGTGTCGTAGGAAAAATAAAGTTATTTTTAAAAGCAAACGTATGTCTAAGTGATGTAATCTATTTGCTGGGTGTAATAGGCTAGAATGCTCTCAGAAGCCTCCCACCTGACAGCTCCCCTCAAATCTGTCAGCGGGGAATAAAACTGTAAGGGCGCGATGGCCTTTTGGTTGTTAGTTTAGCAAACTGCACGAGTAAGACACAAGCGCGTTCTCGTCCATCAACACCAAGTGGGTCATCGTGGCGGGGCAGGACCAGTGCTATGAACTCGCTGTAATTTGGAATTCTACCCGAGAAAAATGCGGTTATTCAAGGGACACTTTGACCCTTGCATTTGAAGTTCTTGCATTTTACTTGGACCAACATTATCAATGCTGGGGGTCTATGGTCTCCACTCTCCCACCACAAACATCGCTGGTGGTGATGCTTAATGAGTTGCCATTTTGACTTCTGATGCTGAGAATAGCACTAATGCCAAGATATACTTTTTTTTTTTTTTTTTTTTTTTTTTTGAGATGGAGTTTTGCTCTTGT
The DNA here is from genome assembly GCF_000001405.40 of Homo sapiens. Classification (NCBI taxonomy): domain Eukaryota; kingdom Metazoa; phylum Chordata; class Mammalia; order Primates; family Hominidae; genus Homo; species Homo sapiens. The sequence continues at coordinate 44,728,582 of NC_000021.9, read as the reverse complement.
TGCCCAGGCTGGAGTGCAATGGCGCGATCTCGGCTCAACACAACCTCTGCCTCCGGGGTTCAAATGATTCTCCTGCCTCAGCCTCCCGAGTAGCTGGGATTACAGGCATGCGCCATCACGCCCAGCTAATTTTGTATTTTTAGTAGAGATGGGGTTTCTCCATGTTGGTCAGGCTGGTCTCGAACTCCTGACCTCAGGTGATCTGCCCGCCTTAGCCTCCCAAAGGATATGCTTTTATCTACCTACTCTTGTTCTGAATAATGACCTCGTGTGTCTTCTCTGAGGATGGTTTTTCCTGAGCCCTGGCTGCCAGGGCGTCTCCCAGGGCTGCAGGTGTCTCCAGGTCTCTCGTCCTCTGGGTCTCTCACTGCTGCCCCGGACTCCATCCCCTTTCCTGTCCCCTCCATGCAGGCTCCACTGTTCCCAGGACTCTCAGCTCTTCCTGCTGCTTGTTCACTCTGCTCCCGCAGCTTGGAAGCCTGTGGGCCACTTCCTGCCACTTGCCTGAAGGACGATGACCCCTCAGAGAAGCTCAGCAGCCCAGGACTGCCCCCATCTTCTCCGCCCACAGCACCCCTAGGGTCACGGTGCTGCCTTGCTGTGCCACCCGGCTCATGTGCCCCTCCCATGCCACTGTCACCAGTGCCAGGCCCTGGGAGCCCAGGGGTCTCTCTGGAGCAAGCACTCCCTCGGGGTTCGTGAGGCAAATGAATGATGTATGATCTCTAATACTGTCAGCCATTCTGATGGAAAGCGCTGGCACTGTGGTCCCTGGAAGTCCATTAGGACTGTGGTGACAGGCTGTCCTCGTGAGGTGTCCCTTCCTTCGGGGAAGCCTGGGGTCTTCTGACCAGAGGCCTCAGCCGTCCTCTGAGCTCTGTGGGCTGAGAGTTGAGGCTGGGCCCATTTGAGCATCACCTGGATGTGGGCGCTGAGCTGGAACTGGGATTTTCCAGGGACCAAGGCTTAGGAACAGCCAAGCAGTTCACAGGAGGCCAGAGAGGCTGCAGCGGAGGGGAGGCTGTGGCGGAGGGGAGGCTGTGGCAGAGGGGAGGCTGCGGCGGAGGGGAGGCTGCGGCGGAGGGGAGGGGGAGTTCAGGGCAGCTGTGCTGGGTGCAGCAAGGAGGCCTAGATCCTGAGTAGGAGCAAGTGAGGGGCACATGTCCCTCCAAGATGGAGAAGGACCCTGGGGGGACCAGCACCTCTGCTGGGGATGGAGCTGTGGTGTTTCTCAAAGTGGGGTCAGGGCACTCCCAGCCCATGCTGACCTCACAAGCTGGAACCCCCAGGGTTTTGTGTGCACTGGACTTTGAGAACCCTGTCCAGGAGGGGTCCCTTAGAGGAAGAGGCGGCAGGGCTGAGTAGGGAGGGGTGCCTTCAGGAATGAGGACTGTGGAGGGGAGTTGGTGTGGACAACCCAGATGGCTGTGCTGGCCCTTGGTGGAGAAAGGGACAGGCTTGGGGTGGGGAAGACTCAGAACTTGGCGGCTGTGGACCTGGGGAGGAGGAGCGGGTGTGGCTGGCTGCTCAGCTGCAGGAGCAGGAGCAGGCACCGGGAGCCTTTCCGGCATCTGTGATCTGCAGGGCAGCTGGGGCGGGCTCATGGTGCCCAGCAGGTGGGTCATGAGGGCTGTTGGTGAGACCCGGAATCAGCCCACCATGGGGATGGTGGGTACAATCCCTATGAGATGCCTGGGCACACTGAGAGCTCCTTATGGGATAAAGACTCCATCCCCACAGCCCCCACCACCACTGAGGCAGGCTCCCCCTCCCTCCAGCAGGCAAAGGCACTCACCCAAGCCCACACAGGAAAGATCTTCCCAAAGGAAAGCTTGATTCGTGACAAAGTCCACAAACTGCCACAAATTCTATTTCTAGTGAAGCTGAAAAAATGCACACTTTTTAAATAGCCTGCCTGTCCCTGAGTGCCACAAAACGCAATTTAAGGTAAACACGTGGGTGCCTCAGTGACAACATTTGCAACATTAACCTCGCTTTTAAAATTAATTTTTAAATTGAGGAATAACATACATATAAAATGTACCATCTGCACCATTTTAAAGCGTACAGCTCAGTGACGAGAAACACGTTTAGATTTCCCTCCTTTATCGCCCCTCCGCCTCCTTCCTCTGGGAACCGCCATTCCACTCTCTGCCTCCACGGGAGCCTCTGGTTTAGCTTCCACACGAGTGACAGCGTGAGATGTTGGTCTTTCTGTGCCTGGCTTATTGCGCTTAACATAATGACCCCCAGTTCCATCTATGTTGCTGAAAATGACAGGATTTCATTCTTTTCGATAGCTGAATAATATTCCATTGTGTATATTTACCACATTTTCTTTATCCATTCATCCACTGATAAGCCCTTAGGTTGATTCCGTATCTTGGCTATTGTGAACGGTGCTGCAATAAACACAGGAGTGCAGAGATCTCTGACATACTAATTTCCTTTCTTTTGGATAAATACCAGTAGTGGAATTGCTGGATTACATGGTAGTTGTGCTTTTCGTACTGTTTCTCATAGGGGCTGTACTGTGCTACCTTCCCACCCACAGTGTTCTACACCCTCACCAGCGTCTGTTATTGCCTGTCTTTCTGATACAAGCCATTTTCACTGGGCTGAGATGGTAATGCACTGTGGTTTGATTTGCATTTCTCTGCTGATTAGTGATGTTGAGCATATTTTAAAACACCTGTTGGCCTTTGTATGTCTTCTTTTGAGAAAAGTCTGTTCACATCTTTTACCCATTTTTAATCGGATGATTATTGTTTGTTATTGTTGTTTGGAGATAGGGTCTCACTCTGTTGCCCAGGCTGGAGTGCAGTGGCACAGTCATGGCTCCCTGCAGCCTCTGCTTCCCGGGCTCAAGCAATCAATCACCAATCCTCCCGCCTCAGCCTCCGGAGTAGCTGGGACCACAGGTGTGCAACAGCACGCCTGGCTAATTTTTGTATTTTTTGTAGAGACAGGGTTTTGCCATGTTGCCCAGGCTGGTCTCAAACTCCTGGGCTCAAGCAGTCCACCTGTGTTGGCCCCCCAAAGTGCTGGGATTACAGGTGTGAGCCACTGCACCTGGCTGCTTTTTTTTTTTTTTGGCCATTGAGTTGTCTGAGCTCCTCATATATTTGGGTTATGAATCCCTTGCCATATGGATAGTTTGCAAATATTTTCTTTGATTCTGTGGGTTATCACTTCACTTTGTCAACCTCACTTTTTTGAACTTGCCATTTCTGTCTTTGGCAAAATGTTAAGCAGGGCACAGGGTGGCCCTTGGGGAAGTCCACACAGTGACTGCAGCCTGGTGAGCCCTTTCCAAATGAGCCAGTCTCCAAGGCTTACCCCAGGCCCCAGGTCCCCGCGACACACTCCAAAAGCTCCAAATGAGCCAGTCTCCGAGGACTCAGGTCCCCGCAACACGCTTCAAAAGCTCCAAATGAGCCAGTCTGTGAGGACTCAGGTCCCCGCGACACGCTTTAAAAGCTCCAAATGAGCCAGTCTCCGAGGCTTACCCCAGGCCTCAGATCCCTGCGACATGCTCCAAAAGCTCCAAATGAGCCAGTCTCCGACGCTTACCCCAAGCCTCAGATCCCTGCGACATGCTCCAAAAGCATAGTCCTAGTTTAAGACTTTTTTTTTTCTTTTTTTTGAGACGGAGTTTTGCTCTTGTCGCCCAGGCTAGAGTGCAATGGTGTGATCTTGGCTCACCGCAACTTCTGCCTCCCGGGTTCAAGCAATTCTCCTGCCTCAGCCTCCTGAGTAGCTGGGATTACAGGCGCCCGCTACCACACCCGGCTAATTTTGTATTTTTAGTAGAGATGGGGTTTCTCCATGTTGGTCAGGCTGGTCTCGAACTCCTGACCTCAGGTGATCTGCCCACCTCAGCCTCCCAAAGTGCTGGGATTACAGGTGTGAGCCACTGCGCCTGTCCACTTTATCAGATTTTTAAAAATGTACTAGAAAATCATAAGAAGAAAAATAGCTCATAATCGCAAATGATCCCTTTTGGTCCTTCTAGAAAAGAAGTAATTCATGATTGAAACCTGGAATATTTAGATATTACAGAAATGTGCACAGAGCCAGAGCCTTCTCACCTGGCCCCACCACCTTCCCCACAGAGCCAGAGCCTTCCCACCTGGCCCCACCACCTTCCCCAAAGAGGCTCCTCTTGGATTCATTCTAGGAAGTCACTCCTACACACACGCCCGTCCACACTCACAGCCGCACCCACCCACACAGACCCTGAGCCCCAGTCAGCACCTGGCTGCCGGAGGGCACATCCTGCATCTGTGTCCTTAGAAAACCGGGTTTTAAAAACACCTTAAGATAACAAGCGTAGCACACCAATATGGAGGCCAGAATACTTGGAGGCAGTCTGGGATCAACAAGCCATCAGGCAGGTGGCTGGTGGTCGGCCACCTTGAATCCCACCCTTCCGTCTCCCTGGGTGGGTCCTTCTGGAAGCTTCCCCACAGCATCCTCCCCATGGCTCCTGGTCCCCTTAGGCGCGGCGCGGGGGGGCTCCTGCTCTCCAGCCCCCTCCCTATGCGGACACCCAGGGCGGGCCCCAGCGGGGTCTGTGCTCTGTCTGGGAGCAGGGATGTGGCCAGTCCAGGCCCTGTGTCCGCAGATCCCAAAGGGTCCAGGGAGCCTGGCCGGGGGCAGACCAGGGCATCTCCATCCTGCTTCAGGCGCTGGGGGAGCACGGGCAGGGCGGGGTCGCCGTCCCACGCCATCGCCCCTGAGCCAGGCTTCCTTCTGCGCCCTGACTCTGCAGGGACTGGGCGGGAGAGGTGCGCCCGCCTCCCTTCCCTAGTTCTGGGTGATTCACATCAAACAGGAGGCGTCTTTGTTCCTCCCTGGCTCTTCGCTCCCACGCGGGCCTTTCCTTGCTCCTCGGAGGCCGCGAGGCGTGAGCAGGCCCGTGGTCGCCCGGCGGGGCCCGCACTAATTACAGCTCCGCCTCCCTCGGCTCCTCCCGCGCCTTTGAAGTGGGGGCTGCGGCCCCGCCGGCCTCGCACCCGGTAATTGCAGCTTCCCCCCGGGGCCCTGGGGACGGCTGGTTGCTAAGCTCCCTTGGTCTTTTCAACAGGTCGTTGGGGTAAATTACAACGCAGCTCACAGTGGAAGGGAAAGCGTTTGCCTCTACCGGGTTTAGATTCACGTGGGTTAATCTGTAAAGAATTTTAAGAACATGCTTGGCTGGGTAGGGTGGGCTTTGCCTCGGGCAGGCTGAAAATGACAGGCTTGGTGAACCCGAGGGGAAGGCGCGCCGGTGGCCTCCACCGTGGCTGAGGCCGCCTGGTCGTCTAGGAGACAAATGGCCAACACTCCCTTGCCTGTGCCTTTAGACCAGAAAGCCTCGCCAACTGAACGTCGGCTTCCTTTCCCTAACGAGCTAAGAAAACTCGGTCGAATGCTTGCACCGATGCAGATGTTGGTATTTGAAATAAGCCAAAAGTCAGTGATTGAGGGAAAAGGAGGAAAAAATAGTTCTTTCTTACCCCTATTCCCTTGATTCTCTGCAAGAGAACATACTGTTGAGTCAGTCCTTTGGAGATTTTGTCTCCAGCAGTAAATGATTGTAGAAATGATGACCTGCGCTGGGGGCAGGGGAGTTTTGCCTGTGGAGATGTCATAGCTAGAGATGCAGGAAGGCTTTACCCACCCCTCCCCCGCCAACAGTAGCTGCCTTCTGTCTTCCTGGAGCGCGTGGCCCCCTCAGCCACTCCACACCTGCCTTCCACACATGGACATCAGACCGACTGTGGACAAATGTGGCAGAGCCCAGAATCTTCAAAGAGAAACTCCAGGGCCCTCCTTAAGTTGCAAGTGTGACATAATTTACTGAGTCCTTGGAAAGGGTTTGTCTGGGCTGAGTTCATACTAAAGAGTCTCATAGAAATTTATGGGATATTATTATAGAGCAGAATATTGTGGAAAACAGTAAATAAATGCCTAATTCATGTCTCAACCTACTGAAGGAAGGGGGTCCATTGAAAACAGATCCCGGCCAGGCACTGTGACTCACACCTGTAATCCCAGCACTTTGGGAGGCAGAGGCAGGCAGATCACGAGGTCAGGAGATCGAGACTATCCTGGCTAACATGGTGAAACCCCATCTGTACTAAAAATACAAAAAAAAAAAAAAAAAAAAAAAAAGGATCCGGGCGTGGTGGCATGCATCTGTAGTCCCAGCTATTTGGGAGGCTGAGGCAGGAGAATCACTTGAACCCGGGAGGCAGAGGTTGCAGTGAGCCGAGATTGCGCCACTGCACTCCAGCCTGGGTGACAGAGTGAGAGACTGTCTCAAAAAAAAAAAAAAGCAAAAAGAAAACAGATCCTACCATCAAATAGGTCACATTGAAATTCCCTAGAGGGCTGGGCACAGTGGCTCACGCCTGTAATCCCAGCACTTTGGGAGGCCAAGGCAGTTGGATCACAAGGTCAGGAGTTCGAGATCAGTCTGGCCAACATGGTGAAACTCCGTCTCTACTAAAAATACAAAAATTAGCTGGGCATGGAGGCGTGCGCCTGTAATCCCAGATACTCGGGAGGCTGAGGCAGGAGAATCGCTTGAACCCAGGAGGTGGAGGTTGCAGTGAGCCGAGATTGTGCCATTGCACTCCAGCCTGGGCAGCAGAGTGAGACTCCATCTCAAAAAAAAAAAAAAAAAAAGAAATTCCCTAGAACAGTGGTTTCCAGGCTTTTACGCTTTAATTTAGGAGAATCTTTTTCCCCCAAAGTGACATTACGTAGAACTCCAATATATGATAATAATAAAAGCAGAACTCCTCTGTTTGTGAAGAGGTCAAGATCCAGGAGCCTCACACCCTCAGTTCAACCCCCTCCTCTTCCTCCACCTCCTCCACTCTCCCCGCCCTACCTTAGCGTGTATGTTGGAAAATAATTTCAGAAGCACTGCCCTATCTATCTTTTTATGTATTTATTTATTTTTGAGACAGAGTCTCACTCTGTCATCCAGGCTGGAGTGCAGTGGTGCAATCTCAGCTCACTGTAACCTCTGCCTCCTGGGTTCAAGCTATTCTCCTGCCTCAGCCTCCTGAGTAGCTGGGACTACAGGTGCATGCCACCAGGCCAGGCTAATTTTTGTAATTTTAGTAGAGACGGGGTTTCGCCATGTTGGCCAGGCTGGTCTCGAATTCCTGACCTCAGGTGATCCACCCACCTCGGCCTCCCAAAGTGCTCAGAATACAGGCATGAGCCACTGCGCCCGGCCCTATCTATCTATCTATCTATCTATCTATCTATCTATCATCTATCTATGACATATTTTTCTGGAAAATCACCCACTTCCTTTGTGTGTGTGTGTGTGTGTGTGTGTGTGTGTGTGTGTGTATACATATATGAGTGATTTATTTTAAGGAATTGCCTTATGTGATTGTGGGGGCTGGCAAGTCCAAAATCTGCAGGTGAGTTCAGCAAGCTGGAGATCCAGGCAAGAGTTGGTACAGCAGTTCGAATCTGAAGGCCAACTTCTGGCAGAATTCCCTCTTCTTCATGGGGAGGTCAATCTTTTTCACAAGGCTTTCAGTTGATTGGAAGAGGCCCACCCACATGATGGAGATAATCTGCTTTTCTCAAAGTCTCCTGATTTAAATATTAATCTCATCTAAAAAATACCTTCACAACAATATCCAGGCATGTTTGACCAAATATCTGGGTCCCATGGCCTAGCCAAGCTGACACATAAAATTAACCCTCACACTAGCAAATGTGAGAGCATCATTAATTTTCCAAATGAAGGCACTTTCTCTGAGGATACTTCTCATGGGCTCTGAGCAGGCAGTCCTGGACCCGTGGAAAAGGGGGTAGCTTTCCTGAGAGTGTGGGACTCAGTTTATGTCCAGCATATTTTTCTTTACTCACTTGGTTCAATATGATGAATGCTATTTTATAGTACCACTCCTTTCAGTCTAGTGAAAAGAGGTGATTAAGAGGAAAAGCAGAGGGTGGAGATAAGCTGGGCATTAGGTTCTATTTGACATGAAATTAATTAGTTAATCCTGGGCTCCTTACCATGGAGATTTACAAAGTATCTCTATTTCAGGACTGGTTCAAATGTCTCCCATTTTGTGACTCTTTCACCAACTCCTCAAAGCCATACCCCTCCTGTAGGCTCTTGTGGTACTTTTTTTTGTCAGGTGGAAATCTGTATGGTGGTGTCTGGTGAGTGAAAGCAGAGACAAGTGACAGGGACATCAAACCCTGTGAATGTTGGTGGAGTGAGGGCCGAGGCAGAGCTAGAGTTGCTCAGGAGAGCTTCAGGGATAAAGAGGAATGTTATGTGCCAACCAGGGAAAAAGAAATGGAGAGTATTTAATGATCATGAACATATATACACCTAACAATATAGCATCGGAATTTATAATACAACAATAGACAGAATTACAGAGAGAAATGGAACAGAATAGAGAGCTCAGAAACATACGCACTCACACAAACACACACAAATTGTAGGCAATGTTGGTAAAACTGTCTACTATATGGAGAAAAAGCAGGGTAAGACCTGGACCCAAGTACTTAAAATATGTCTAAATGTATTAAAGATCAAAAACTGAAAGGAAGAATTATAAAGCTAATAAAATATCAGGTCCAGGGGAAAAACAGAATATCTAAGGGCTTGGTAAAACATAATTTTAACATACATCTAGAAAACTTGGGTATTCAAAAGACTCATAGATAAACTCATGAGAAAAGGAAGAAGGACAGAACACAAAAATATGCAACATTAAATATGAGAAAACAGAATTGCAGATGCAGAAGAGATTTATTTTAAGGACATTTTATGTTAATTATTTGTTAATAAATTTGAAAATTTGGAGGAAGTAGGTGATTTTCCAGAAAACTATGTCATCACTATTATCTCATGAAAGAGTAAAAAACCAGAATAAACCAATAATCATAACAGAAATATGAAAGTTTAAAGCATTTACCACCTGAAGAGTCCCCAGCTGGAATTGAAATGTAGAGTGTATATTAGCTATTTTTATGGGATCAACGATATTTTTCTTAGATGTGATAATCTTATTGTAGAAATTTGGAGTGTCCTTATTTTGAGGTGACAGTGCAGAGATATCTAAGAGTGAAAATCATGTTAATAATTTACATCTAAATGATTCAACAACAAAAAAGAGTTTACATGGGCACATGTAGACATGAGAGAGAAAGCAAATGTGACAAAGTAGTAACTAGCAGTGCATTGGGGTGAAGAGTGTTTGTCAAATTTTCTGTAGGCTGGAAAAGTGTTTTAAATGTTGCAAGGTGAAGAAGGCTCAAAAGTTTTCACAAACGAGTTCCAGTTTATCTTTAAGAAACAAATTTTATTAGCCAAAATATTCTAGACCATATAAAAGCATGAAAAGCACTCCAATTAATTTTATAAAGCTAGCATAATCTTAGTATCAGCCCACAGTCAAGATAATGAGTTCATTCACTGATTGGTTACACATTTATTGAATGGCAGGCACTGAAGATACAAGGCTGAACCTAAAGAAGCATGGTCTGGGCCACCTGGAGCTTCCAGTCTGGGCAAAAACACACACAATGATCACCTAAACAAGGGATGAAAACCACCACCCTGAAGTAGGGGCAGCACATAGTGCAGTGAGAGCTCCTAATGGGGTGGCTTTCCGCAGAGGAGTTAATTGGGATGGGGACAGAGGAAGGGTGTTCAGGGAGAGGGCCCAGCCTGGGGGCAGCCTTGGTAGGCGGAAGCTCATCATGGATGCGTGCCTGGGAGACCCTAGTGGCTGCAGCATAAAAGGGAGGGCAGGTGCAGGGCTGAAATTGCAGCTGGGTGGCAGGCGAGACCACTCCAGGGCCCTATAGGTCACATCCTGGAATGTCGTCTTTATTCTGGGGGCAACCAGAAGTCCTTGAAGGGAGTTCTGGCCTAACCAGTTCTGGGTTTTGCAGAGACTGCTCTGAATAGATCCAGGGGACCTGAAGGAGATGTGGGAGACTATTGGGCAGTGAAGGCTATGGGCAACGAAAGTGGCTGGACCAGGAAGGTGGCCAGGAAGGAGAGCAGGAGTGCTTGAGGTTAAACTCAGTGGGTCTTTCTGAGAGAGATGCCAAGGATGACTTGAGGATTTCTAGCCTGAACCCGTGGATGGGGGGTCATTTTTGAGATGGGAAACATTTCCCACCTCAGTGGAGAGGGGTGGGCTGTGGCACCCATTTCTTAATCTCTGCATTTAGGGAAGACCAAAGCCTGAGGGGACTGCCTGGAAACAGCACTAAGAAGAGAAGAATGTGTATAAAGGCGACATCAGACTGAACTCAGCAGTATATTAAAAGAAAAATGCATCCTCACTCTGTGTAATCTATTCCAGGAATGTAAGGAGGTTCAGCATTAGGAAAGCAATACTTGTAATTAATTCCATTAACAACTAAAATTGGAAATGTGAAACCATATCAACTGATGTGCAACAGCATTTAAGAAAATTCAGCAGCCATTCCTACTCTGAGAGGAAAAGAGGGAAAATTCTTTAATATGTTAATGACTACCAAACCCCACAGCCATTACCATTGAAATTTGGAATGAAATAAGAAGTCTACTATTGCCACTATTTTCAACATTTGTTTTGAAGGCTCTAGTTCATGCTATAAAATAAGAAAACAAATCTATTGGTACACATAGTAAAACTGAAGAGGAAAATTATTTATCCTAGAAAAACAAGAGATTCTAAAATCACATAGTAACTTCAAGGTTGCTAGATATAACTATAAAAAATGAAACAATTTTCTTTATACAAGCAATAACCAATTACAAATAGAAATGGGGGAATATGTTTACAATAATGATGAAATCACAAAGAAATTTATAGGAAGAACTTTACAGAGAAAATACAGGACCTCTACAGTCATAACTATAATTTAAAAAAATAATTGAAGATTGGAATAAACATATCTTCAGCGGGAAGACTTCATATCATAAAAATGTCCACCATTCTCAAATTAATCTATGGAGGTATTGCCATTCTAATAGGTATTTCTATAGTGTTTTTTCCTTGTTTGATTTTGATTTGGGAGGTGCAGATGGAAACCAATAATTTTTAAAGTCCATGTGGAAGAGTAAGTATGTTATAATTTCTAACACATTTTTGAAAAGGGAAACTAATGCATATATTATCAGTATGAACCCTTACTATAAATACTGTTATTAAAATAATATAATGCTGGCAAAGGAAATTGACAGAGATAAATAGAGCCAAGATTAATGGAATAGAGCCAAGATTAATGGAATAGATCCAAGTATATATAGAAGCCTAATTAATCATAAATGTGACATTTCAAGGTGGTGGGAAAGAAGTATGTAATAAATGGAATGTGCATAATGACTTTCTGGAAACAGAGTTAGATTCACTGCACTCCATATGCAAAATCACATTCCAGATGGAAGAGAGATCTAAATAGACACATACAATTCAATAGCAAAAAAGTCTAAAAATTGTAATTCAAAAATTGTCTCCAAGTTTAGTGAGCATTAGAATAAAAATTGTATTTTAAGACCCATAAAGTCTCAAAGAAAATATTGCTGACTAAATGAACATTTTAAACACCTGGCAAAATGACAAGGTAAAACAAAGCATCCAAAAAAGGGAAGCAGGCCAGGCGTGGCGGCTCATGCCTGTAATCCCAGCACTTTGGGAGGGCGTGGTGGCTCACACCTGTAATCCCAGCACTTTGGGAGGCCAAGGCAGGTGGATTACTTGAGCTCAGGCATTCAAGACCAGCCTGGGCAACATGGCGAAACCCCATCTCTAAACACACACACACACACACACACACACACACACACACACACACACACACACACACACAGAAGCAATCAGGATAAAGCAGACAAAGGGTAATACCCTACTATTTAAGGATCTCTTCAAAAGAAAAAAAAAATAAATGGGAACCCTAATGTAATGGGTCAAGGGTCAGATTCTAGTGTTAGATTTTAAGAGCCAAAATTTCCTCTCCTTGGAGGTCAAGATTAATAATTATGTTGTTCTTAGTCATATAAAAGACCTACAGTATTTCTTGTTTGAAAAAAAAGAGAACTCTTTATGTGAGAAAATAATCTCTTATTCTCTTATTAAATAACTAATGAGATCTAAATGACTTTCAAATTGGAATTCTAGCCTGCATTTTCTGGAGACAATGGACCTCACTTGTGCCTGGTCAGTTGACTCAGTGACTGATGGAGCCAACTGCTCAATGATGGGGAGCCCAGCCTTGGATGGCCTGGCCCAACAGCATATAACCCCAGTGTATTAGTTCATTCTCACACTGCTATAAAGAACTACCTGAGACTGGGTAATCTATGAAGAGGTTTATTTGACTCACAGTTCCACAGGCTTAACAGGAAGCATGAATGGAAGGCCTCAGGAAACTTACAATCATGGTGGAAGGTGAAGGGGAAGCAAGCACGTCTTACCACGGTGGAGCAGGAGAGAGAGAGCAAGGGAGGGAAGCACCACACACTTTTAAACCATCAGCTCTCCTGAGAACTCACTCACTACCACGGGAAAAGCACGGGGGAAATCCACCATCATGATTCAGTCACCTCCCACCAGGTCCCTCCTCTAACACTGGGAATTATAATTCAACATGAGATTTGGGTGGAGACTCAGAGCCAGGCCATATCACCCAGAGAGTTGGCTAATGCTCATTGTCCAGGCTTGCCAAGTACTCCCCAGTCTATCTAAACTCATTGTCAAACACCACGTGTGTGCCTTCTCTTTTTTTTAGATACCTTTTCAAATGTCATACAACAGTGGTCATTATATACCAAGTGATGGTGTATCCTGGAAGAATTTTTGTGTCTTTAAATTATTAAAAACCAGCCTGGGCAGCATAGTGATGCTATTTCTACAAAAAAATTAAAAATTAGCTGGGTATGGTGGTATGTGCCTCTCTGGTCCCAGCTACTTGGGAGGCTAAGGCAGGAGGATCACTTGAGGCCAGGAGTTCCAGGCTGCAGTGAGCCATGATCTTGCCACTACACTCCAGCCTGGTGACAGAGCAAGACACTATCTCTAAAAAAGACAACAAAAACCAAAATACAAAGTCCTTCTGGGGTTCATAGATCACAGAAGTGATGGTTTAGTTTAATAAAACACAAAACTGGAGGAGTGAATGTAAGAGTGTTATTTTTGTAACATAAAGTTATCATTTTCAGTTTCTCTTTGAGCTCTGTTCCTTGTTTTCTTGGAGAATGCATTGTTCCCTGGTTGGGGCATGTTGAATATTTAAAGACATGGACACACTTCACAGCCGCCTTTGGCCAAACAATGACACGCTAAGGGTTACTTCTGCAGCTTGATGAAGCCCGTGATGACCTCCTGGGGTTTGTTACTGATCTGACTTGATTAACAACCTGTGTCCTTAGAGGATAGATGGAGCCCTCCTCCTCTTCTATTGATCGTCTCTGTTTCCCTTGAAGCAGACAAATTGAGTGACAGCCTGCACCAGGATGTGTTTGGGGGAAGTTCTTGGAACATTTTCTCTTTTGTCGTTTGGAGGCAGAGTTAGCAGACCTGGGATGGGCTGCCGTTCCTTCCTATGCTGTGAGGGCCTGGTGCCCCGTGAATTCCCTTGTTAACAATGCAGCACTTACCCAACCTGCTTCTCGGGAGTGAAGCTCAGTTCTGATGTCTGATGTTATGGCAGGGACATGCTTTCTTCTTTGCACATGCATTTCTCTTAGTGGGTTCTGGGGATTCGTCTCCATGAGACTTTGATACACATGATGTGGAGGATTTCTCTCTTTTCTTTTCCTCTTTCTTTCTTGCTTAGTCTATTTTCACACCGCTATAAAGAACTACCTGAGACTGGGTAATTTACGAAGAAAAGAGGTTTAATTGACTCACAGTTCCACAGGCTTAACGGGAAACATGGCTAGGAGACCTCAGGAATCTTACAATCATGGCGGAAGGTGAAGGGGAAGCCAGCACATCTTACCAAGGTGGAGCAGGAGAGAGAGAGAGAGAGCAAAGGGGAATGCCCTATACCTTTGAAGAAACAGATCTCATGAGAATTCCATCATGAGACAGCACAAGACGGATGGTGCTAAAGCATTGGAAACCACCCCCATGATCCAATCACCTCCCACCAGGCCCCTTCTTCAACATGTGGGAATTGCAATTTGACATGAGATTTGGGTGGGGACTCCTTCCCCTCCCCTCCCCTCCCCTGCCTCCCTCCCTCCTCCCCTCCCTTGCTTCTTTCCTTCCTTCCTTCCTTCCTCTTTCTTTCTCTCTCGACAGTCTTCCTCTGTCTCCCAGGCTGGAGTGCAGTGGTATGATCATGGCTCACGGCAACCTCCACCTCCTGGGCTCAAGTGATCCTTCAATCTCAGCCTCCTGAGTAGCTGGCACTATAGGTGCACACCATCACGTCCAGCCAATTTTTAGAATTTTTTGTAGACATGGAGGCTCACTATGTTGTCACTGTTGGTCTTGAACTCCTCGGTTCAAGCAATCTTCCCAGTTCGGCCTCACAAACTGCTAGGATTTCAGGCGGGTGCCACCTCGCCCAGCCTAAGCAGGCTTCTGATCACTGATGTCTCAGAGCTCCGCGTGGGTGAGCCAAGCTTGTGTCCCTGAGGAAGGGGCTGTGGAGTCCACCTGCAAATGCACCTGCTTTTTCTCATCGAGCATTTTGGAGCTGGTGTTCCCTGGGTCGTGGTTCCAGAAATGCTGATTTAGGTACGTTATAGCTATCACTTAATTTATAGGACAGCCCTACCACATGTGTCCTCCTAGGCACATTTTACAGACGTGGAAGTTAAACCTTGGAGAATGTAAGTGACTTGTCCAGGGTCACACAGGGAGCTGTAGAGGAGGGAACTCTGAGCTTTCCTCCTGCGCTCAGCACATCTTTGTGAAGTTTCGTATGTGAGGAGGATTTCCACTGGCTCACCCTTAGTTATCTTTGAGGCTATTACTAGTGCTACTGCATCAAATGTAACATAAGAAAAATTTTGCCGGAAGGGTTCAAGGCAGCTTAATTGTGATTGTTTAAATTAGCTCTGGAGTGCCACCTGCCCATCATTTGGGGGGAGTCCCCATCCCCTCAGGGGCGTGGTCTCAGAGGCCACTGTGACCCGCAGCTGGCCTGGGAGCGGCCTGGCCCAGGACAAAGTTCTCATGGATTGGGACACAAAAGAGGAAGACTCCATTTATTCCATTTACACAACGATCAGGCCTTTCGCTCCTCTGAGGAACCACGTCGTCCCTCATTAGGTTAGGGTTGTCAGGAATGGTGCTATGTGGAGCGTTTCCAGCTGCTGAGCCCCAGTGGGGTGGGGAGCCCACTCAGGAAGCCTCTGTCCTGGCACTGCATGCCCACCGGAGCTGGCAGGGGGTCCTGGGGGGTGAGGGAGACACACCCCACCCCAGGGCTCACTTGGGTGCTGGAAGAGGAGTCACATATAATGGGAGACCTTCAACCTCCCTTCATATGATGCCAGTTAACTCAAGCCTCATAAATAGGACTACGAATTAATATCTGTGAATTAATATTAACTATGAATTAATATCCCTGGGGGCAGGGCCGGGTAAAAGAGGAAGCGAGAGGGAGACAGAATGAGCCTGTCCCATCGCAGGGGCTGTTTATGGGAAGAGCCTCCAGAGCCCCAGGAGCTCTCTGTGCCTCCCCACTTTCTCCCTCTCCCTCTAGGTCTTTCCCCAGTCTCTGTCCCTCTCTTCGGCCCCTTTCTCCTTCCCTCCCTCCATCTCTGTCTCTCTCCACAAGCCCTAATGACAGGGTCTATGCTCTTGGAAAACTCATTGTGTCAGAGGTCCCAGAGTGGGGGCTTCCTTCTGAAACTAGCAGGAGTGTGTGCACTTTGTGGGCCTGTGAACCAGGGAAAGCCATCGGCCTCAGACCAGTTTGCCAGGGCCTCCACACCAGGCACAGAAACGCAGCACCCAGTTGCGTTGGAGATTTCTGCAAGAATGCTGCGTTCAGTGCTGTTTGGAGAGGGTAGGGGGGCAGGGCACTTTTGTAAAAAGAATACTTCTAGTTAATAGCTGCTCCCCTCGAGTGGCATGCCCATTGCAGTGTCGAGAGGTCAGATGCGAGGGTCCTCGGCTCTGGATGAGTGACCATGGCCGTGCCCCTTCCCTGAGGGACACTCACCCACTCCTTCTCATTAGCTGTTCCCTTTAAGGACCGACTTCCCTCCAGAGGGAAATTCCTGAAACCCAACAGTTGACAAACCCACACACCCTCGGGAGGGCTGGGCACCAGATAAAAAGCCCTCCGAGGGAGCCCAGCCCCTCCTGGGGATGGACGGCCGCTGCCGCCGGGGGACCCAGCAGAGCCCGGGACCTGCCGCCTAGACCCCCAGCAGAGCCTGGGATCTGCCTCCAGGACCACCCCCCACCCCCCGCAGAGCACAGGACCTACCTCTGGGACCCCCCCTCCCCACCACAGCAGAGCCCCGACCTGCCTCTAGGACCCCCTAGCAGAGCCCCGACCTGCCTCTGGGACCCTCCAGCAGACTGTGGGGACCTGCTGCCCAAACCCCCAGCCAGAGTGCACCCGCCCCACCCGCTCCCGGCCTGCCATGGTCGCCTGTGCCCCTGGTCCTAAAAGGCGGTGAGCCCAGGGAGCCTGCGCCTGAGGGAAACGGGTCTCCTAAGTTTCTCTGGCTTGTTCTCAGCTCTCCGCAGCACGATCTATTTCTGTCTTTCCTTTTGGAAAGTGTGCTTTGCCAGCGACTAATCCCAGGCCGGGCCGAGATTGTTATCACCTGTCACCTGCACGCAGGGCCCAAGCCCATCAGGGAAATGAAGAGATAAACCAGCGGCTGCAGCCCAACCTGCCAGGGGCCACCTGCCTCCCGCAGGCAGCAACCAGAAGCTTCCCCACTGCGACCGCCAGGGCCACCTCTGTCCCCGCCTTAGGCCGCTGGCATGTGGCCGTCGCAGTGACCCCCGGGGGCCCCGCGGCCGCCCCTGGAAAGGCTGACGCAGACGTCTGAGGAGCAGCCACTTCCCTGCAGGCTGAGCGGAGCCCTGGATGGAGCTTGGCACCCAAGCCCCTCATGTCTGCCCTGCTGAGTCTGTGTTTTGTGCTGCCCCTGGCGGCCCCCGGCCACGGCACGCAGGGTTGGGAGCCCTGCACAGGTAAGGCAGGGGCATGGGAACTCGGGCGGGGGTATCTTGCCGGGGAGCTGGGAGGGGTGTCGAGTCACAAATGCCACTTTCTAACACTGATTCAAGCCGCGGTGCCCGAGGACGCTTTGGCAGGACTGGCAGGTAGCACCCTGTGGAGATGGGCAGAGGCGGGAGGAGCACAGGTGGGGAAGATGAAAGCGCAGGGCAGGCAGTTGCAATAGAAACGCGGCTCTTTAGAACGCACGCAGGGTGGGGACGAGCTTCAAGAGCTAACCAGCAGCCACCGGGGCCTCCACAAGTGCTTACCTGCTGGGCCTCCCGGGAAAGGCTGACACCTGCTTTGGGAATGAAGAATGAAGTCGCAGCAGCCCGGGAGGCTACTGTGCACGAGCCATTTCCTTAGCTGGTGGAGGTGCCCCCAGCCTGCACTCAGCAAAGCGAAGGGCCACACCGGCCCTGCTCCTTCCCCACATGAGCAAAAAGCTGGAGACACAGACACAGCCCCAAACACAACCACCTCTGGAGTGAAGGGCTCGGTTCTTTGGGGCGTAATCTGGTCTGAGTGGAGAGCCCTGGGCTGGCTCACTGGGGGGTCCTGGCGAAGCCTGGGGGTCTCCTTCCCACCTTTTAGAAAGGCTGTTTGGCTTGCTCATGACCATGACACGCTAATACTTTTCTAGAGTTTCTACTGAGGGATTTTACTTATCAAACCAAAATTTAATAAAGTAACACGACAACTAGACCTGGTCGCTAGAAACTCAGTTACTGGACAGTAAATTAGTGACTCCAGCACTCAGGCTCCGCAGCACGGCTATCAGGGGAGGCGAGGAGATGGCTTGCGCTTCTGGTTTTGTTTGCAAATCATGCATCCTTGGTTCCCTGGAATAGATGAAGTCCACCCCCGGCACCGGGCCACAGCTCTCTGCTCGGATGGCACTCAGATCCCGATGACATGACCAGGGGATGAGCACGATCACCCGAGTATGGAACGTGCTGACTCGCGTGGGGGGTGGGGGTGGGGGTGGGGGTCATAAACGTGCCTGCCCACCCAGGGACGGATGGCTGTGCCTCCAGGACAGCCCTCGGGCTGTGCAGTGGGAGGTAGGTAGACCTTCCGTGCTGGAACCATTACTGCCTGGGTGTTGGGGACAGGACTGAAGCTCCCGCACAGCTGCACCTGCCCGCAGGGACTGCCTTGGAACTGGGTGATTCTGCAAACAATACGAGAGCCAAGTCAGCTTGTCGCAGAGCAAAATCCCCTGGCTTCACGCGATGGAGGGCGCAGCGCCAGCCTTTCTCCCTCCCCTGCTCGAGGACCCCGGGGCAGCTGAGAGACTCCTCAGCACACCCTGGAGTGGGGGTGGGGGGGCATGAGTCACAGACATGTATTTTCATGTTCCCTTTAGCTCAGGGAACAGAATCAACCTGCATAATAATAATACAGGTTATTTATAAAGCCCTCCCCCTCTCCCCTGAAGCTACGTTGCAAATAGTTAAAAGATGACCCAGTTATAAATACCACGAACCAGGGAGGAAAGATAAAAGTCAAGTAAGTAATATTGAGCTGCATTTGGAACGCTCCCAAGAGACTAGCATAAGGGCCAGCCAGGGCTTCAGATCGTTCTGTAGAAGTCACCTTGGTTCCATTCCGTTTTGGGAAGCACAGGCGCGCGCTCGCTCTGTAGGCTTCTGTGGGATTCCGCCTTAGCGTGGGCCCCGCTGGCTGGGGCTGTGTCGCTGTGCGCGTGAAGGCACCGGGCCGTGGCTGCGCCGTCTCAGCTTTCTCATCCTGCTCCCTGAGTCTGTGCCCACGGCGTGGAGCCGCGGCGGGTGGTTGACCCGCAGGTCACAGGCGGTCGCGAGGCTGGGGGTTCGGGTCTGCCACGGGGCCCATGCGCCTTCTCTGGAGTTGTCAGGAGGGGAACCTGCTTTGATTTTCGGCGCTCATTCCCCTCTCGTCTCTCGCTTTCTAGGACTCATTTGGCTATTCAAGTGACTGCCAGGCTTTGGGGAAGTTGTGGGCTGGGATTTTCAGGCGGCTCCAGCCCCGTGGGCAGCAAGGGAGGACAAGCCTGTGTTTTTACACCACACAGTAGGAAGCCTCAGTGCGAAGGGCGATTGCAGGGACCCTTCCGATTCTTGTAAGGAGCCTGTGGTCCGGGCTGCGTGATGCTGCGGACCCAGGAGAGTGGGCTGCGCCCTAGGCTCGGCACCCCTCATTCAGAGCAACCCACTTCACCTCCATGTGGACAGGAGATCAAGGCAGGAGATCCCGTGGGAGCCATCTGAGGACCCAGTGGGCGGGGTCACTGGTGGGCTCTGGGGGGCTGGGTGGGAGGCTGGGAGGCTGGGAGTGCGGGAGCTGCAGGATGCGAGGGCGGCCACGTCTCTTTCCATTGCCTCTCCCTGTCCTGAGTGTTACCCCAGGAACCGTCAGCGGTGGGGACCGGTCACGCGGGACCCTGCTCAGTGAGGCCTCAGCCCCTGAGCTACCTGGCTCTCCTCATTCACTCCCCTTCCCCCTACGTTTGCTCAGCATCCACGCCAGGAAAGGCCGTGCCCCCACCCGGGATGTGGCAGCCACAGGCCAGGGCCCCTGCCCACACGGAGCTGGCAACTTGGCCAAACTGCAGCTCTGCCCGGAGCAAGTGCTGTGAGGTCCCGCGGGCTGTGCCTGCCCTGCAGGTGTCCAGGAGGGCCTCAGGGAGCAGCATTCGGGGAGGGGACTGCAGGAAGGCTGTCAGCTGGTGGAGAGACCCCAGGGTGGGCTGAGGGAGGAATGAGGGTGGTCAGGTCTCTGGGCCTGGGGACGGGCAGTGTGCATCCCAGGAGCTGGAGAAGGCACTGAGGAAATAAATGATGGCGCAGATTTGCATCTTAAAAGATCACTGGGGTGTGGAGGCTGCTGGCTGGAGCCTCTTTGCAATAGGAGGTTGGGGGAGGTTTTCCAGCCCAGCCCTCCTACTTCCACTGGTGCTCCCAGGAGCTCTGCCCTCAACCTCTGTCCTCTGGACTTCAGCGCCTAAGGGAGTGTGAGTGCTGGGGAGTCCTGGTCCTTGGCGAGGTCTCCAAGTCCGCTCCTGGAAGGCTGTGTGCCAGCGACACCTTCTCTTGGCTGCGTGTGCATGACCAAAGCCCTTAGAGTGTCCTGCAGTTAGGAAGTGTGCCCATTCCTGACCCCGCAGCCCAGTCCTCTGTCCAGGGGGCCCAGCTCCCCACTCAGACCAGGAGCCTGCAGTCCCCCCTGCTGGGGGCTGGGGGAGGGATCTGAGCTCCAGCCTGTTACCCCCAATGCATGCATGCACGGGTTACCCCCAGCGCACACTTGCACTCCCTCTCTCTCCCGTCCTCTCTCGCTCGCTCTCTCTCATATCTCTGTCGCCTCGTGCTGTGTGGTGTGTGTGTGTGTGTGTGTGTGTGTGTGTGTGTGTGTGCACGCGCGGGGCGGGGAGGGGGGGAATCGGGGGGCACAGGCTAGGCAGCCAGGAGGGATGTGTGTGACCCCCAGGGCTCCGGGAAGGGTGGGGGACCGAGGCTGAGGGACACACTGGGAACAGACTGTCCAGTCCACTCCAATGGGCCTAGGGCTTGTGGCATTTTTCTATCATGTTTATTTACTGAATCCATTCATGTTCTGAAATGAATGACCGCCACCTATAGAGAATCAGAGGCTTAGCCGCCTCACCCATCACCTTTGTCTCTCAGAAAACAAATCTCAGAGTTAAGGACCCCCTCATTCCCTGCTCCGAGCCAGGCGGTCACTCTGGGACTCCTGAAGCGCAAATTGTCAGTGGCCACGCCTTTCCTTTTATAAAATTCTAAACTATAAGGCCAGGGCTTTTCCCCCGCTCCGCCCCCATGGTCATCAGGAAATAAAGAATGTTTAGCTTTAGGGCTGAGCCCCACACACTCTATTGGACACTACGGTTCCGCTCCAGACAAGCCAAGGGTCTCCAGCCTCTCTGGTTCCAGGATAACGAGCCGCACACGAGGGCCCCGACGGGTCTGGACTAGGTTCCCATCTGAACGCCCCTCCTCTGCCCCTCCCTGCGCCCCGCAGCTGCGTGGCCTCGGCCTCCGCCTCTGCCACTACCCCTCACCCTTCCGACCCTGTGTCCTCTCTCCCCGCACCCCCCCCCACCCCGCGTCCTTTCCCCACCCCCATCTTCCTGGTGGAGACCTTGGTGTTGCGGTGGGGGCAGGGGTGGAGCGGCAGGAGTGGGGAGGGCAGGTGCGGTCCTCCTGGCTGTCACCCCCGTCCTAATCCCAAATCCGCGTCCAGTGGGCTTCGCGCCCTGATCGCCTGGGCTGGGGCTAGGGGTGCTCGCCCAACCCCACACAACTGATAAATGGAGGCGACCCCACGGGATTCCTCACTGATCCCACAACCCCCAACTGATGCCGGCGCCAATTCCGCTAGGAAAGCCGGGCAGGGGCGGACGTGAAAGCGGGTGCTTCCCAGCCCGCCTTTGTCCTTGGAGGGGTTGGGGGTGGGGGGACCCCATCTCTCGATGGCTCACTTTTCATCCCACACCACCAAGGTGGTGGGGCTTGGGGTTGGCTTTGGCCCTGGGTGGGGTCTGCGTAGGAGGCTCTGGCGAATCCAATCCCATGGGCAGCTTGGGCACTGTCAGGGGCTCAGGGGCGCCGAAGAAAAACAGAAGAGAAGCTCGCCTCGCTTCTAGGGTGACCTAGTCGGGTTCAGCCTGGGGAGCCCCTCCCTGCCCCCGTCCCAGCATCTGGGAAAGGAAAACGGTGGCGGGGCGACCCCTGAGGCCCGGAGCTGCTCGATCCCCGACACCTCTGCCTCGGCCGCCCCCTCTGAGAAGTGGGTGAAGCGCAACCCAGCAAAACGACTGCGTGGGAAGCGTTTAGCGAGTGCTGCGTGTGGGTCGGAGCCGGGGACTCAGGGAGGATCGTTCTGCACGGCTGGGGACAGCGGTGTGTGCGCGTGGGTGTGTACGCGTGGGTGTGTGCACGTGGGTGTGTACATGTGGGTGCGCACGTGGGTGTGTGCGCGCGTGTGTGTGCATGGGTGCGTGCGCATGGGTGCACGCGCGTGTGTGCGTGCATGGGCGTGCAAGTGGGTGCGTGTGCATGGGGGTGTGCACGTGGGTGTGTGCGTGTGGGTGTGTGCATGCGTGTACACACAGCTGCGCGGAAGAACCCGGGACGCAGCCACCCTTCCTTGGTTTTGCCGGTGCATGTTTTCTGAAGTTTCTACCAGAGCCTGGTGTTGCAGCAGGGGAGGCGCTGCCAGTTCTACCTGGCCTAGGCCGCCGGTTGGTGGGCACTGGGAAGGGTCTGGGGGGACCTGTGCTCGCACTAGGCCTCGATCTGCAGCTGGGGGTTATCGGGGGACCTGCCCCGATAATCACGTAGGTTCTTTTCTATTTTCCTAAGCATCGACTGGCTTGAGAAATAAAGGGACAGAGTACAAAAGAGAGAAATTTTAAAGCTGGGCGTCCGGGGGAGACATCACACGTTGGTAGGATCTGTGATGCCCCACAAGCCGCAAAAACCAGCAAGTTTTTATTAGGGAGTTTCAAAAGGGGAAGGAGTGTGCGAATAGGTGTGGGTGACAGACAGCAAGTACTTAACAGGGTAATAGAATATCACAAGGCCAGTGGAGGCAGGGCGAGATCACAGGACCACAGCTCCAAGGCGAAATTAAAATTGCTAATGAAGTTTCGGGCACCATTGTCATTGATAACATCTTATCAGGAGACAGGGTTTTGAGATCAACCGGTCTGACCAAAATTTATTAGGTGGGAATTTCCTCTTCCTAATAAGCCTGGGAGTGCTATGGGAGACTGGAGTTTATTTCACCCCTGCAGTCTCAACCATAAGAGACAGGTACGCCCCGGGGGGGCCAGTTCAGAGACCTACCCCTAGGTGCCCATTCTCTTTCTCAGGGATATCCCATGCTGAGAAAAAGAATTCAGCGATATTTCTCCCATTTGCTTTTGAAAGAAGAGAAATATGGCTCTGTTCTTCCTGGCTCACCGGCGGTTAGAGTTTAAGGTTATCTCTCTTATTCCCTGAACAATTGCTGTTATCCTGTTCTTTTTTCAAGGTGCCCACATTTCATACTGCTCAAACACACATGCTGTACAATTTTTGTAGTTAACACAATTATTACAGGGTCCTGGAATGATATACACCCTCCTCAACTGACAGGATTAAGAGATTAAAGTAAAGACAGGCATAGGAAATCACAAGGGTATTGACTGGGGAAGTGATAAGTGTCTATGAAATCTTTACAATTTATGTTTAGAGATTGCAGTAAAGACAGGCATAAGAAATTACAAAAGTATTAATTTGGGGAACTAATAAATGTCCATAAAATCTTCACAATCCACGTTCTTCTGCCATGGTTTCAGCCGGTCTCTCTGTTTGGGGTCCCTGACTTCCAGCAACAGGGGGTTAGGGGCTGAGCTTGGGGCCCCAGGGAAGAGTCACCAGTGGTTGGGGATGGGCCATCAGCAGCCACAGAGAACAACAGGTCAGTGCGTCTGGGCGGGGCGGGCAGCCAGGGCTCCTTTGTAGTTAAACTGCGCTCCCGGAGGCAGCTGGGCTCCATCCAGGGTCCGTGGATGGCGTGCCGGGGCCGTGACGTGACACTGGGTGGGAGCTGCTGCATCTTTCTCCTGAAAACATCTCCCCAGTGATGGGTGTGGAGGCAGCGCATGGCTGAGTGGGCAGCACCTGCCACTGTCACCCACCGAGGCTCCTCTTCTGGTCCCCGTGGTAGACTTCTGGAAATTTCCTGTGGGCCCATCCTGGAGAGACCTCTGCTCCTCTTGTTAATCCAAGCCTTCGTGGAAAGACCCTCAAGCCGCTGCCCCTCGGTGTTGAACAATCTGGGTAACCAGCTCCATCCAGGTGTTCCCCTTGGAAGTCTGGTGTGTTCTGTCTCATGTGTTGAGAAACCTGTTCTGAGAAGGCCGTGGGTTTTACCCGCCAGCTGGAGGCCAACAGCTCTGGCAGGTCAGGGCCACCCCGCACGGTTTGGGTTCCCTGGGGGTTGGGGGTGGACTTGGCTAGAAGGAGGCTGATAATGTCACAGAGGGGGTAAAGTCTGGACTGACAGGCTACAGAAAATTTCAGGCCCCAACAGCCAGGGAAGTGGGAAACTGGCTTCTCTCACCCCGTGTTCCATGGTAGGGACCCCTGGAGAGTGGTGGGGGGGTGGGGTACCCAGGGAAGCAGGGGGCAGGGTCCCAGCTACCTCCCCACCCCCAGGGGCTAGGAAGAGGATGGTAGGATCCAGTCTGTCTGAACCCATTTACACCAACCCTGTTCTAATTGCGGGAGGGCCCTCCTCTCACTGAGGGTCCTTGCAGGGAGAGTGCACTGGAAAAGCTGGCCCAATTGAGGGCATCTGCCCCACACTCTCCAGGGCAGACAGAGGCCAGGTGATCTTAGACCTGCACTAAGGGTCCTGGGAACATCTTGCTGGATTTCAGGGCCTCCTGGGATTGCAGCCCTGTGCACCCCTCTCAGTCCCAGCCGGTTCCAGCTCCACTGCAGCTGGGGGGACTCAGGAGCTGGGCGGTGGCACTGGTGTGGTGTGGAGGGGACAGCAGGTGAGGAGGCGGCTCTGGCGGGGAGTGAGGCTGGGTGTGGGACCCTTGGGGATCCTGGAAACACTGGCCCCAAAGGAAACCCCCAAAGAGTGGCCAGCTTGGGCCCCAGATCCCATTGTGTGGGATCCCTAGGTCATGTACCCTTTGGCTTCTTTCCCTCTGACCTCTGCCACGCCCGGCTAGACCTGGGGCCACAGAAGAGGTGTTGCCATTAGCCTTCACAAGCACAAACAGAAGGCGTTGGCCATTTCAGTAAAATGCCAGGGCTCCCGGGGAGAGGGAGGCCCCACCCCAGCCCACCTAGGAGCTGGTTGACCACAGCGACACTCAGCTTCAGCTGTGCCTGCAGAGGGCCCTGCACAGAAGCCAACCTGGGCCCTGTCCCCGGGGTTCCTCAAACTCACCAGGGACAGGGAGGCATGGGGGCACCAGGCCCCTCCTGCCAAGGAGCCCTCTGGCCAGATGTGCCATCAGAGACATCACCACCTGAATCCTGGATTTGCAGCAGGGTCACCCTGAGAGCTGCCTGGAGGTGCAGATCCAGGAGGCCTGGGCTGTGGGGATGGGAGCCGGGAACTCAGCGCCACTGGAAATGCTCCCATGACGTGGCTCGTCTCTAGGGTTGCCGAAGCCAGGGGTGTGTTTGCATAGAGGGCCCGAGAAAGAATGAAATAAACACTAGGCTGGGAGAGGAGCACGCAGAGGCAGGGAAGGCCAGTTTATTCATTGTGCAAGGCACGTGGTGGGCAAGGGCGGCCAATGGCTTGGAGGAGAAGGGCAGGGGGGGCCAGGGACCTCCTGTGGCTATGGGGGAATATTCCACCAGGGAACACCCGGGGCCCTTCAATAATAGGAGAGGGCTGTCTCATGGTTTCCTGGGCCTGGCTTGGAGGTAGTGGATAGGTAAGCCGTGGTTGTAGGGTATGAGGTCAGCCAGCTTGCACACTGTGGTGTGTACCAGTGCGGTGTGTACTAGTGCGTGTGCTGAGAGGTCAGCAGTGGGAGAGGTTGGGGGGAACCTGAGCCTGGCTGGCCCTGGGGGACGTGCCCGTCAGTAGCTGGGCTTCTGGCCTGAGCAGAGGCCTCAGCAGGCCAGGTGGGAGCACACACGGCGGCAGAGGAGGGACACGCAGGAGGCTGGGTGGCAGCAGCTGGGCTGGCAGGAGAAGGCGGGTGCACAACAGGAGGGGACGGGCATGCAGCAGGTGGGCCTGCACACAGGGTGGCAGAGGAGGGACACAGAGGAGGAGGGTCTGCAGCAGGAGGAAGTGCAGCAAGCCGGCTGGCAGCTAGACTGCTGGCAGCACAGGGAGGAAGCCCCAGAGCAGACAGGCACACAGCAGACGGGCTTGCAACAGACAGGCTTGCAGCAGACGGGCACACAGCAGGACTGCTGGCTTGGGGAGGAGGTGCAGCAAGCTGGCTGGCAGCTAGACTGCTGGCAGCACAAGGGCGTGCAGGAGCTGGGCTCACAGGCTGCCTGGCAGCAGGGGCTGGACACACAGCTCACTGGGGTGCAGACCAGGGTCAGGCAGGGGGCCGGGGCACAGCAGCTGGCGGCGCAGCAGGGGGGCTCGCAGCAGCTCTCCGGGCAGTCGTCCACCTGCCAGGAGTTGGTGGAAGCACTGGCTCAGGGAGGCCCCTTTGTTCCTCTGGAGCTTTTGCTCTGTGGGGTGGATGGTGGTCTCTGCTCCATCGCTTCAGTCTCCACCCCTGTGCTCATGTGGACGCTGCCTCTCCTGGGTGAAGTTTCCCTGCCTCCCTCTCATAGGAACGTGTGTGACGGCACTTAGGGTCTCTCTGGCTAAGCCAGGATCATCTCATATCTCAGGGCTCTGAACTTGGCTCAGAGATAGAAGACAGAGAACGTGGATCTCACGGAAGGAAAACAGGGCAGGAGATGCTGGAGTGTGGAAGGACAGGGCAGGGAGGATAGGGAGAGACTTGCCGAAAGACACAGAATTGCAGCTGCTCAGGGGGGACACGTTCTAGTGTTCTATAGCAGGGGGTCCCAACCCCGGGACGGGGACCACTACAGCCGTGGCCTGTTAGGAACTGAGCTTTACAGCCGGAGGGGAGTGGCAGGTGAGTGAGCTTTACAGCCGGAGGGGAGTGGCAGGTGAGTGAGCTTTACCACCCGAGCTCCGCCTCCTGCCAGATCAGTGGAAGCACTGGATCCTCAGAGGACCACGAACCCCGCTGTGAACTGCACATGCCAGGGGTCTCTGTTGCTCCTTGTGAGAATCTAATGCCTGATGGTCTGCCCCTGTCTCCCATCACCCCCAGACGGGACCATCTGGTTGCAGGAAAACAAGCTCAGGGCTCCCACTGATTTGACATGATGGTGAGTTGTATGATTATTTCGTTATAAATTACAATGTAATAATGGAAAGACAGTGCACAATAAATGTAATGCGCTTGAATCATCCCCAAACCATCCCCCTCCCCAGTCCGTGGAAAAGTTGTCTACCACAAAACTGGTCCCTGGTGCCATGAAGGTTGGGGACCGCTGTTCTAGATAGCACTGTAGGATGACTGTAAATCAGCAAGAATATATCGTTTCACGTCGCTGGAAGGAAGGTATCGAATGTTCCCCGCAGAGAGAAACAGTCCGTGTTTGAGATGGTGGGAGCTCTGGGCACCCCGGCCCGACCACTCCGCGCTGTCCCTATGGAAGCGTCACTGGGAACTCCATGGATATGTACAATAATGATGTGTCGGTTTAAAAAATGTTTAAGGATCTTAATCAGCAATCTAATCAATCTGCAAAGTGCTTTTCCTCACTATAAGGGCAGATTCACAGGTTCCAGGGATGAGGGTAGGGACATTGTCTGGGGGGTGTCATTTCACCACCACACCCTTTCCCAGGGTTCTGTTGGTTTCTGCCTCTGTCCACCTCTCACCTCTGACTTGGCTTGCACGACCTTGGAATATCACCCTATGGGCTGCGGTTTCCTTTTCTGCAAGATGGGGTCATGGTCCACTCACCCCACAAGGCCACGTGAGGATTACGTGGTTCAAAACAGGTCACGAAGGCTTCCTGAAGGTCAGCCACTGTTTTTATTGGCCACGAGGCAGTATCAGGCTTAACAGTGACACCTGAATTTCCTCTCAAGCCTGGCAAGCCTGGGATGCCTTTAGGTGGAAGGTTTCCCTGCTGCAGGTGGGTTTAACCAGACACTGCTGAGGGGCTGAGGCTTCAGGGCCCCCAGGAGTTCTTTAACCGTGAAGTTCCCACTGCCCGGCCCCAAGGCAGATTCAAACCACGGACTTCATGGATATCGTGAATTTCTGACAAAATAGAAGGCCTCATGCGGCACCCCCGGGGCCTCCAGGCCCCTCTCACTGTGTGCTGTTTGGTTGGCAAGGGGGGTTCTGGGAAGTCTCTGCTCCCTCGGCTCTTCTCGTGTGGACTGGCCTCCTCTCTCCCGTCCTTCATCGCTGAGGGATTGCAGGGATGGGCTGAGGGACTGCACTGGGGGTCGGCAGAGGAGGGGCCCCAGCAAGGACAGAGGAACGGCTCTCCCTGCCAAGCACACGTGACACCCAGCACGACCCCAGCCTTTGTGCTGCCAGCCCTTTTCTTCCTGCTCTCCAGCCTTCCTGGTGGTGGAACCCTGGACTGGAAGGCAGAGTGTCGCCTGAAGTCACCAAGTTCTTCCTATCTTTCTCCAAAATCAGCATCTTCTCTTGGACAAAGAACATGCTTTCTTCCAAAAAAAATTCTGTAGAAGAATCTCTGTTGTCATGGGGCACTCTCAAAGCACGGGGCGTCTCCTAGGATGCTCTTACCTGTGGACAGGACTGTTGGCAGCCCTGCTGGCCCAGAGCTGTTTAGCAAATCACCCTAAGCTAAAGAAATGGTGGAGGGGAGAGGCAGGGCAGACCCCAAAGATATCTGGCAGCTCAGTGAAGATGGCAGGGCCAGGGCAGGGCGGGGGACGGGGTGGAGTCCAGCTGCCCCAGCCGGTCAGGGGAGAGGGCAGTTTGGAGGAAGACGCTAGCTCAGCTTCAGATGTGCCCAGATGCAGCTTCCCTTCGGTCTGGGGGCACACCTGGAGGCCGCCGTAAGCGTGGCTGGGAGCCCAGGGGAGGCACCTGGTTGGAGACCTGGAGTTTGGGGGCAGGGAGAGAACGCACATAGAGAAAAGTCAGAGGAGTGGGTGCAGGAGCTGAGACAGACGCATCCCAGAAGCCCAGGGAGACGGCGTTACAGGGCCAGGCGCAGCAGGGGCTGGCCGGCAGAGTGAGGGACAGAGGGAGAGCGACCTGAGCACCGCAGTTCTTGGCCAGCTGTGGGAAGAGGGAAGAGAAGAACGGTGTGTTGGAGGAGCTGGGGGTGAGATGGGGTCACCAGGACCCACTTCCTCTGGGAGGTGCAAGGCAGCACTGAGTCAGAGGCTGCAGTCAGGAGGGAGGGGCCTTCGGCTGCACCCCTTTTCTTTCCCCAACCCTTTTTTTTTTTTTTTTTTTTTGAGACAGTGTCTCACTCTCACCCAGGCTGGAGTGCAGTGGC